>NT_187504.1:0-158759 GCF_000001405.40 Homo sapiens
GAATTCCAATTGTTGTCTATGCAGGCCTACCAGATTTCTAACATCTTTGAGCTACCATTTTCTTCTTAGCTATCTGCTCAGCAAATGTATCCAAATGAAAGGTTGTGGAGAATGTTGAAATCAATTCAATGTGTTTCTCTTCTTTATGAGAGCTTACACACTCAAGTTCTGGATACTTTGATTGCTATCAGAAGCCCTTAAATAGCTACTTATTTTTAATTAATTTTATCCAGCTTTCATAATTGTTCTTGCCAAGTGGGATGGCCTAATACAAATTAATTTTTCATAGCTAGAATTAAAAGAGGAAAACTTTAAATAGCATTGAGTTATCAGTACTTTCATATCTTGATACATTTCTTCCTGAAAATGTTCATGCCTGCTGATTTGTCTGTTTTTTTTTTTTTTTCTGACAAACTCATCTTTTATTTTTGATGTGTGTGTGTGTTTTTTTTTAACAGGGATTTGGGGAATTATTTGAGAAAACAAAACAATAACAACAGAAAAACTTCTAATGGTGATGATAGCCTCTTCTTCAGTAATTTCTCACTTCTTGGTACTCCTGTCCTGAAAGATATTTCAAGATAGAAAGAGGACAGTTGTTGGCTGTTGCTGGATCCACTGGAGCAGGCAAGGTAGTCTCTTTTATTCTTCACTATTAAGAACTTAATTTGGTATCCATGTCTCTTTTGTCTTCTAGTTTGTAGTGCTGGAAGGTATTTTTGGAGAAATTCTTACATGAGCATTAGGAGAATGTTTGGGTGTAGTGTCTTGTGTAATAGAAATTATTCCACTGATAATTTACTCTAGTTTTTTATTTCCTCATATTATTTTCAGTGGCTTTTTCTTCCACATCTTTATATCTCGCACCACATTCAACACTGTATCTTGCACACGGCGAGCATTCAATAACTTTATTGAATAAATAAATCATCCATTTTACCCAGTCTTAACCAGAACAGACATTTTTTCAGAGCTGGTCGAGGAAAATCATGACTTACATTTGACCTTAATAACCACATAAGCAAATGGTCCCCATTTTTTTTATTTAAAAGTTTTTATTTATTTATTTATTTATTATTATTATACTTTAAGTTTTAGGGAACATGTGCACAATGTGCAGGTTAGTTACATATGTATACATGTGCCATGCCGGTGCACTTTCTGTTGTGGGGTGGGGGTAGGTGGGAAGGATAGCATTGGGAGATATACCTAATGCCAGATGACGAGTTGGTGTCTGTTTATTGAGAGGAGAATGTTCAGAATTTTATATCTTCAACATCTTTTTCTGCATTAATAAGATACTGAGATCTTATAACTCTTGTCATTTTGGTCACTTATATTTTCATATGGAAAAAATCATATAATCCAGGGTTTCCAATATATTTGTGTAAAATTAAGAAAATGATCTTATCTAATTACTTGATCAATATCTGTGATTATATTTTCATTGCCTTCCAATTTGAATATTTGTTCTCTATTCCTTCTTAATCTGGATTGAGGTTCTGATTAATTATTTTAATGTTGCAAATTGTTTTCACGTTTTCCATAAAATGAGTTCTTGAGTTTATTTCTTTACTGCATCATTCTATTTTCAAGTCATGAACTTCTGCCTCAATTAAAAAAAAAACTCACCATTTCTATGAAATTGTTGTGTTCATATTTTATTTTTTATTTACTGTATAATTCAGTATAGAATATATAATATTATAAAATATGTAATAAAAGGATAAAAAATAAGATACAAAAAGTAAGGGGTGTGAGTTTTGAAAATTATACTTGCTAATATGGTGAAATAACTCTGACCAAATTAACTTTCCAGCAATAAAAACAAAATTGGAAAACTGGATAAAATATACATGGTAACATGTTAGGTCAGCTTTGTCTGTCTTCAAACAACTATAAATATTGTTCTACCCTTGTTACCTATTTATTCTTTTCCATTTTGTTTTGCTCGATTTTTTTCTTATACCCATTTATTTGAGTAAATTTTGAAAATATCTATTCTTCATTCTTGCTGTTTCTAGTGTGATATATATTTCTCAGATAAAAGGTATTTTTCCTTTTATCTTTCCCTAAAGTCACTCTACATATATTGCATTTATCTTATATCTGCTTTAAAACCTATTTATGTCTTTTTAGGTCACTTACATCAGAGGAGTTGTATTGGTGCGGGAAGGGGAATTTGATTTAATGAAACAATGCATTAAAAATTTGTATTCACTTTGTGATTCAATGATAGTCAATGTGGCATGTAATTTTTTTCTGTCTTTTAATATTATATTGTCTTTGTTGCTTTTCTCTAACATGAAATATATGTTACACAGGCACAGTGCTGGTGTCTTTTCTATTATTATTTTTGAATTGGACTCATTATTGTCTGAGCTATTTATTAAAATGGTGAAGGAAAAGATCAGTAAAGTAAATTATGTCAACAGGCAGTATCAATTTAGGTCTATTTTCCATGAATATTTTCTCAGCAACTGTGGTGTTATGATGTATATTGGTTTTCATCCACAGTTCCTGGCTTATAACTCCCCTAGCTCTTGTTACAATCTTTTGTTATAATATTGGCTGTGTTAGGTCTCAGGAGCAGGCTTCTCACCTTCTCATGGCCTTTTTTCATTTTTATGTTCCTGCCTTTCTGGTTGTGGCTCTTAAGACGATCTCAGGAGAGAGTCCCACCCTATACCCTGGAGGGAGGAATGCTGATATCATGAAACTTCCATGAAAATCCAGGAGGACAGGGTTCAGTGATCTTCTGGGCAGTTGAACACATGGATGTTCCTGGAGGGTGGCCCACCCAGGGATGACATGGAAGCTCTGCTCCCTTCCCCCATGCATTGCTCTAAATGTCTCTTCATCTATGTCCTTTGCAATATCCTTTATAATACACCATGAAATGTAAGTGTTTCCCTGAGTTCCGTGAGCCACTCCAACAAATTAATCAAACCCAAAGAGGGGGTCATGAGAACCCAACTTGAAGCCAGTAGGTCAGAAGTTCAGAGGCCTGGGCTTGTGGCTGGTAGGTTGAGGGTGGGCAGTCTTGGGGACTGACCTGTGAGACCTGACACTATCTCCAGGTAGACAGTGTAGTGTCAGAACTGAATTAGAGGACACTCAGCTGGTGTCTGCTCCTTGGTGTAGGTATGGAGGAAAAAATGCACACATTTGGTCACAGAAGTCTTCTGTGTTGCTGATTGATCTTTGTGGTGTGAGACTAGAGGAAAAACATAGAGTGTTTTCTCTACACAGCAACTATATAATCTGTGGGAATATCTCCTTTTACACCTAGCCCTACATCTGTCTGGCTACAGTCATTTATCTGGCCTTGGGAAATGTGACCACAGAATCAGATATATACATGAGATTAAATAATACATGTGTATGTCATTTAAATATCCAGAAAAGCTATGACTTCACCAGGTATGAAGAATATAAAAAGAACTCTGTCAAGAATCATACAGTAAATAGATTTTTGAATTTAATCTAGTACCTAAACAATCAGAGTAGGGAGGTTAGATATTAAAATCAGGCTAAAGATGTAGGCAACATGGATCTAGAAAACGGATTGCATGGCCATTTCACTTAGAGTTCATGGGCTTGGAATCTCTATTAACATAACTTTTACAATGTTAGAATTTGTTCCCATATTAATGAGGGAAAAACAATTACCCTGAGTATCTGAAGCTCCAAATCTCATTTTCCAGTCAAAATCTCTGATAGGTAAACAACCTGAAAAAGTTGCCACAACTCACTGAGGTGATAACCTCATTTGCTTAAGAGAATGTAATTGTTTTTATGATTTTTTTTATCCCAGGAAAACATTGAAAAAAAGTTTAGAGATGATGAAGTATATGAAAACTATAACATTTATACTTTAGAGATGTGATATTTATTTATAATTGTATTAGTATTTAAATATAGATTAGCATTTTACATTCCAATTTTCAATGTGTAACAGAATATTTTAGATATTGGGGTTTTTTTTTAGTTGAAATTATAAGCGGTTTTACCGAGTTGCCAGTAGTGGTTTAACATTGAAGATAATTTAAGATTCATGATTTTGTGGGTTTAATTTATTAGCTCTATAAGGGTTGTTTAAGTACTCTGAAGGCTTTATTTGTTAGTCCGATAATTAAAATGTTCATAAAGATAATTCAACATATTAAATTTGTAAATGTAGTTTAAAATCTTTAAGGGAGTTTAATTAACTAAGTTGTAAATGGACCAAACATTAATCAAAGTCCCCCTTAAAAATAATTTTTAATGTACTAGATTTATAAATAGAACAACAAGATTTCTAATTTAAACTCAAAAATTTTTTAAATTGGTTAACAATTTAACATAATATGCTGCACATTAATTCAGAATATGAAATCTTATATGTAGTTCTTTTTACATTCAAGAATCACATCGATAAACATCACAAAATGACTACTGGTAACCACTATGAAACTCTTTAAGCGGTAGGTCCTGTATGAATTTTACTCCTCATGATTTGAAGATTATGCATAAATTCCTTCTTCTTGTTATTTTGTTTCCAATTTAGTCTTTACATAGACAATTCAATGTAGTCTTTACATAGACAAAACTCCTATAACAGAAAAACTGAAAACAAAGAGGGTGCATTCCTTTGCTTGCTTTCTGAGGACGCCCTACTCTAAAAGGCAGTAGCTTTCAATAAACTATGTCTTCTTCTCATTTTACTCTGTGACTCACCTTGAATTCTTTCCTGTGTGAGGCCCAAAAACCCTCTCTTGAAGTGTGGATCGGACCTCTTTTTCCAGTAACACTAGTACTGTTATAATTAGGTAAATGTTACTCACACCTGAAACATGGAGCATAAATGATTGAATTTCATGTCTACACAACATTTTTTTCCGTTAAACTGACAATTTTTTAAAATTTTTGTTTTTTTCATTTTTCTATGTATGTATCAAAGTACCAATTCCAAACTCTACTCCAGTTTTCTAATGAGTCTCATAATGCATTCAGAAGCATTAGACATTTTATCAGATTTATCTTTTTGAAAATTTTTTTCTAAATAGCTCTAATTTACACAGGTTGCTGTGTACACATACTGTACATCTAATAATCAGGAGATTACCTGTACTTTATACCCTACTCTTTCTTCATTTACTTCCTCATTTTAGTGAAACTCTTCTCCAGTAAATTCCTGAGATAGGATGTATTGGATGTAGAGTTTTAGAATCTTGCCATGCTGTAAATGCTTATTATTGTTTCCTCCTATCTGATTTAGTTTGGTTGGAGATACTATTCTGCATTAGAAATAATTTGTTTTTCAATTTATAAGGCTTTGCTTGTTTTCTAGTGACCATTTATATTTCTCTTCTCTGGAAATTTTAAGTGTCTTCTTTTTTTTTTTTTTTTTCCTGAGTGTGCTGGTGTGTGTGTGTGTGTGTGTGTGTGCATTGGTCTAGGTCTATTTTCACCACTGGCTTGAATTCTGGTGGATACATTCAATCTGAAATTCATACACTTTAACTCTTACCCATTTCAAAAAATTATTTACATATATCATACTTCATTGTACTTTTTTCTTTTCCCAAATGCCTGTATTTTGTTGCTGGCCCTATAGGACCAATTATTTAATTCATTAAACTTTCCCTTTCTCATTCCCAACTCTGTTTACACTAACTTTTCTGCAGATGCAGTCAGCTTTACCTTCCAAATCTCCCATTAAGTTATATATTTCTGCAATAAATTTCTTAATTTTTAAGAATTCTATTTTTTTGAATATCCATTTTATATCACACCTTGTTCTTGTTGTATTATCTTATCTTCCCTCTCTGAGGAAATTAATAATTACTTTTTTCCCACACTGTATAGGCTCTGTTTACTTTCAGTTGTTTTGTTTATTTTTTGTTTCTGTGTTTGTTATTGGCTGTACCTAGAATCTCATGATTGTTTGTTATCTGTTTGCGTTCAAGAGCAATACAATAAATGTTTACGGTAAGCTTCAGGTTCTTAGGTAATAATTGTCAACTGTGGCTTCCAGACAGGGCAATCAGGTCGAGAAGTTTTCCCAGAAAAGCTCCTCATGACATATCCACTGGTCTATTCCTTTGGGCTGATCATGATCTTCCAACTAGAGTCTTCCAGTCTTCTCTGAGGATATAAGACTAATAGACTGTTATGTTTTGAATCTAGATAGAGGTGAAAATTGGGGAGATCTAGCTTTCAGTAGTTACTGTTCATTTTGCACCCCTAATTTATGTATGACCATTGAAGATGATATTGCCAGTACTAAGATTCCTTGTTACCTCTCTAGACAGCAAATGTCTACTTTTCCACCAGCAGAACCTAGAGGCATTCATGCAGCTTGATGGAGTGGACATTGGAAACAGTCTTTCAACCAATCTTCCTGGGTTTTAGCCCTACCTTTACTTCTACTTTCAGAGGTATCCCCTGCAACCAATTTATGAACATTTTGTAGAATCAGATTTCCCCGCTACTTACAATTTTACACTTTTTGGTAAGCTAAGTCAGTTACCAGCCATTTATGGACTTCCTATTTTCAAAAATGTTGCTGTTTTCTTTTTATATCACTTGAATAAGCCATTTGTCATCATGTTATAGTTTCAGGTGGGAAAATAAGTCTCTCTATGTGTTTAACATGCCATAGTTGCTCAGGTGCCTGCATCTACTCTCATCATTTTTTGAAGAAAGGCTAAATTGTAATGGCACTAACAACTAGTCTTCAAAGTTTGGTTTATAATTTTAATGGTGTTTATTTTTAACAAAGTTGGTGGAGTTTTTTTTTCTTTGTATATTGATTTTTCTTTTGGTTTTCAGTTGTTTTAAGAAATAAATGGAGGGAGAGATATGCTTCCTTTGCTCCCATTAACCAAAAGAATAGTTTGAAGAATGCAGGAATTAACTTTTCCATTAAGTTTAAGAGGACCTGCTTGAGACACAGCTGGGCCTTGAGCTTTTAAAGGTGCTATAACTTTACACCGGTTTCATTTTTTTCTATTGTTGGTATCTTCAAATGATCTCATTTCTCTAGATTTATTTTTATAGTTAAATTTTCCCTAAAAAATTAACCTCTTCATATATATTTTCAAATATAATGACCAAAAGGTACATATTACATTCTTTTGAAATTTTCAGTTATCCAGTTTTCCATTTTTCTTGTTATATTTTAATAGGCTCTCTCTTTTTTGTCATCTAATTTGTTTGTCCTTTCAAAGAAATAATTTTTTGGATTTATTGAAAAATTCCATTGCTGTTGGGATGGGAGAAGATTAAATCCTTAGAATAATAGGCCAGGCATGGTAGCTCACACCTGTAATCCCAGCACTTTGGGAGGTCAAAGTGTGTGGATCACTTGAGGACAGGGGTTCATGGCCAGCCTGGCCGATATGGTGAAACCCCTTCTCTACTAAAAACACAAAAATACAAAAATTAGCCGGGCATGGTGGCATGTGCCTGTAGTCTCAGCTACTTGTGAAACTGAGGCACAAGAAATCACTCAAACCCGGGAGGTGGAGGTTGTATTGAGCCAAGATTGTGCCACTGCACTCCAGCCTGGGTGACAGAGCAACACTCTGTCTCAAAAAAACAAACAAACAAACAAAAACAAAACAAAACAAAAAAGAACTTTAAATAATAGTATATTATAATTTTGCAGATTATAAGATCAATAGATGTTTATTGTAAAATGCACAAACAGTGCAATATTTCTTAAAGTAGACAGTGAAATACTTCATGTTGCCATGTTTCTCCAAGAGGTACTATTGGGCCTTCATAAGAAGCAATTCTTCCTTATACAGGACTGTTTGTCTCAATGCACTGTTTGGCCCAATGCATGCTGCATGTGATCTCTGCCCTTTACTTGTAAGTGCTCATCATGTCTCCATCATCGATACAACCAAAAATAACCTACATTTCCAAAATCACTCCAAAGGAATGGTCCTGAGAGAGTTGAAAATTCTGAACTCCTCAGATTAGATCTCTATTAAATAGTTGAAACAGTGAGCTAACTAATATTTGCAAAGCTGTTCATTATACAAGTTTAAAAAAAATGCAAAGATGGTAAAGACTTGAATTTTCAATAGATATGTTTTATAAAAATACTGGTAAAAATTAACATTTTACAGTCATTTTAAATGACGGCAAGATATCCAATGTATTTTCAAATGAAATATCAGTTCACTACAAATCATAATTAGCATAATCTCACTTTTAAAAAAGTACACATATGCGTTTTATGAGTGAGAGTATTTGAGTTCTAATTAAATTGTTGTCGGTGGATTTCTAAGGAATAGAGGAAATCATGAGGCAAGTGGAATTGTAGAGAGAGGAAGATTTCAATTTACATTTAATTCACTCCCGGAGTGTTTGAGTTTTTGTAATAAAACATTATAAAATGTCATATCATTTACAGTATGATCACTTATAAACTTTCATTTCACTTAAAAGGAAATTTTTAAAAAGAGGACTACCAAATAACTACTGCAGCCATTGTAGTTTCATAAATGACTTTTTCCTTCCTTCATGTTGTGTTAATGTGTGCCTGCTAGGTCAAGACCCAGATTTGACACCGTGTACAGTCAGCATATAAGTATCATAACAGAAGATTACCTATCTGGATACCCTAGCTTCTCCATTCCTGAGCAAGTTGGGAGGCCATGGGGTACAACTCTCTCAATATGTACTAAGGAAACAGAGATACTTTTGCCAAAGGATATTCTTCTTGATGGTAAAAATATTAGCTAACATTTGTTAGCTGACAAAAATGAAGTATATTAAATATGCTAAGGGAAACTGTGGTTCAAGTGATAGAGATTTTTAATTCTTTTTGAGATCATGTAATTATACCCATGACAAGGTAAGTTTGATTCAGAATAATTTCTGCCAAAATAAAGGATGCTGTTGATGGCCTGCTTGTCCCCTGCCTATTGACCATTATTCTCAAACTCAAGCAAAATTAATTTTTAAATAACAGGATAAGAAATATGAGTAAGCTCTGCCTTTTGTGGGTCAGGTTGAAAGTATGGAAGAAATTCAGAAAGGACATAGTCAGGAATAGATGAGAAAAGAAAAATATATATTATTTTGGCCATTGATATGGTTTGGCTCTGTGTCCCCACCCAAATCTCATCTTCAATTGTAATCCCCACATATAAAGGAAGGAACCTGGTGGGAGGTGATTGGATCATGGCAGCAGCTTCCCCCATGCTGTTCTCATGATAATGAGTTAAGTTCTCAAGAGATCTGATGGGTTTATAAGTGTTTGACAGTTCCTCCTTCACATGCTTACTTTCTCCCTTGCCTGCCACCATAGAAGATGTGTCTGCTTCTCCTCCCACCATCATGGTAAGTTTCCTGAGGCCTCTCCAGCATGCAGAACTGTGAGTCAATTAAACCTTTTTTCCTTTATAAATTACCCAGTCTCAGGAAAGTCTTTTATGACAGTGTGAAAGCAGACTAATACAGCCATGAGAAATGAATAACGGTTAAATGGTAGGAAGAAGAAAGAACATTCTTGGCCTAGAGAGTACAAAAGGAAAGCCATGGGGTTGGACCTAAAAAGAATACAAAGAGGAGAGAAGAGTACTAATTGTGCTCAGGAGCTGAATTGGGAAATTTTTTACAAAACCAAGAAATACCAAACTTAGTGAACTATTGTGGGACAAGTGAATAAAGAAATATTAAAGCAATGAAAAATAATTTAAGTAAATATGAGAAGAAAAATTAAGAATATCTGTATATTTTTGATCAAAGGTTGTAATGATTAAAGTTACATTATAAATTATTCTATCTATGGAATTAATTATGGATCAAAAAGAATACAAGTCAGACAAACTATAAACTTCTCTCATTCTTTATTTTGGAACTTAAAGAACTTATGTATCTAAGTTAATCAGATATTTTTACGTTATTTTTACAAAAGTACCTATGCATTAATTTAGAAAGATTTTTATTGTCTGTTTTCTATAAAAATAAAGTGTAAGATTTTACTACTTCTGATAACATTTGCTACAAGTCAATCTATGTCTTCCAAGAAAATCTCTTGGTCAGGACTCATACTTGTCCACCATGTTTCAGATTTGATTTCTTTTCAGAGAGGTAAGATTTGTTGCTGTGTCTCCTTAAATTGAAATAGACGTAATTAATGTGGCTATAGTGAGAGTCGTCTTCAATATAGTAATTGTGTTCTGAAACAGTCATCTGAAAATGAAATATTTTCTCCTCTAACTGGAGTCTTTCATTTACAATTAACTTAAACTTTTAGTCTTTACACTGGAAACTCTTCTTTAAAGAAGATATGACTATTTTGTTCTCATAAAAGCTAGACTCTTGGAGAAGACAGAAAGTGCAACGGCAGGAAGATTAATGTGGATCCTAGAATCTAGAAAGTTGTCTAGAGACTATTTAAAACGGTTACTGCAAGAAAGCTCAAAAAGAGAGTAATCATTCAGAATAGGAAGAGATAGAAATCCTTAAACAATTAAAATAACAATACCAGGTGTGTATAGTCAGAGGGAGAGATTTTGCCTATATTATTCTGGGGAGAGAAATAAAATATTTCTGTATAACATCATAGAAATGTAAATGGAGATGTTAAACTTCTCTGATGGGTAGTTTGAGAAAAACTTTAAAAATTGAAAAGTTTTTTTTTTTTGAGACGGAGTCTTGCTGTGTCATCCAGGCTGGAGTGCAGTGGCGCCATCTCGGCTCACTGCGAGCTCAGCCTCCTGGCTTCATGCCATTCTCCTGCCTCAGCCTCTCTAGTAGCGGGACTACAGGCCCCCGCCACCACACCAGGCTATTTTTTTTTAAATTTTTATTAGAGACGGGGTTTCACCTTGTTAGCCAGGATGGTCTCAATCTTCTGACCTCGTGATCCACCTGCCTCGACTTCCCAAAGTGCTGGGAATACAGGCGCAAGCCACCGCACAGGGCCAAGACTATTGTTTTAAAGTGTGAAAATTGATATTGAATTCTTGTGTTTATATAATAAGGTGTCCTATAATTTCTGTTTGGAATAGAAAATCAGCAACTAATATGTATTTTCAAAGCATTATAAATACAGAGTGCTAAGTTATTTCACTGTGAAATGTAGTCATATAAAGAATATAATAATTATACTGGATTATTTTTAAATGGGCTGTCTAACATTATATTAAAAGGTTTCATCAGTAATTAATTATATCAAAATGCTCCAGGCCGGGCGTGGTGGCTTATGCCTGTAATCCCAGCACTTTGGGAGGTCGAAGTGGGCGGATCACTTGAGGTCAGGAGTTGGAGACTAGCCTGACCAACACGATGAAACCCCGTCTCTAATAATAAAAAAAAAAAATTAGCTGGGTGTGGCGGTGGGCAACTGTAATCTCAGCTAATCAGGAGGCTGAGGCAGAAGAATTGCTTGAACTTGGAAGGCAGAGTTTGCAGTGTGCCAAGATCACACCACCCCACTCCAACCTGGGTGATAGAGCAAGACTCAGTCTCAAGGAAAAAGAAAAGCTCGAAAAATGTTTGCTTATTTTGGTAAAATTATTCAATGACTATGCTCAGAAATCAAGCAAACTGTCCATATTTCATTTTTAGAAATTACATATTAAAGATCTAAAACAAAGGATAAAATATCTGCAAAAATATTTGCATTTCTGGATAAATTAGTTTCCTGATTTAACTCCTTGTTGACACTGAATCTATTTTAAATTAAACAAGGTGCTGATAAAACAAAAGACAAAGAAAGAAATTCAAAATAAAATTGAAAGATGAAATCAGAGCTTACAAGAGATAAAATTTCCTCTGACGGTGTAAAAGAGATCTTCATACAAAAAGCAGAATTTATATAGTCTCTTTCCAAAAGACCATAAAACCAATCAGTTAATAGTTGATTTTTATGTGAAAAAAGAGACTGTAAAAGAAAAAATAATGACACCAAAATCCCTTTTAAATTCAAAGAGTCATGAAGTTTCAAAAAATGTAATTCAGATAAGAAATTAATGTCAGCTACATTCTTCCACAGTAAAGTTTTGCATCAACTTTTCAACTAATAGCTTTAGCATTCATTAGAAAACTTGTTTCAACCATTATTTTACTAAGTGTTATAACAGGGTACTACATTCTTTCATTTTTTTCTTCATTTATTAGCTGGAATAATTTCTAAAAGAACATTTCCTCCCAAATGTGTATTGATTACACCAAAACACAGTTTGGACAGGAAAAACAAGATAAGTAGACAAATGCTTGACGTTTATACCCCTCCCCACTTTTCACAGTAATGAATTAGTGCTTCAAACAAACTTTAATAGTGATTAAAAACTTATTTCCCATAATAAAAATTTTAAGTTTTTGTAAGTAAATGATAAATAATAATTTATCCAGTATTTCATGAGTACCTATAATCACCCAGGATCCATTCTCCAACAATGTGGGGAAAGGAGCCCAGTTTAAAATTCCCATCAGGATACCAGCAAGATGATGAAATAGAAAGCCTCAAAGCCACTCCACCCTCCTCTCCAAGGAGACACCAGCTAGACGATAATACACAGATAAATCCCCTTTGTGAAAAGTTCAGAGGCGAATTTAAAGACTCTGGATTCCCTGGTAGGCTTCAAGCCAGGCACATCAAAACCAGCAGGTAAATTTGTTGCACTCACTCATCCTCCTTCAGCAGTACAACGCAATGGAGAGAAAGCTCCAAACTCCCAGCTCATCTCTAGGGAGAGAAAGAAAAGTCTAGAACATATGTCCAACATTTTGACTTTTTGGGAGGGCACTAGCACCTATCTACCCTGAATCTAAGTGCTAACAGGAAAGGATGCCAAATTGCATGCCTGCTGATAAAGCCACAGTTTGGACTGTCACTCAATCACCATCATTCCTCCTGTGACTCAGTATAACAAGATTGGGAGAATACTCTACAGTTCCTGATTCCCCCACAGAAGTGAAAGAGAATACTGCAACACACATTCAGTGTTCAGATTTTGGGGGAGTTGCCAAGTGATTGTTTTCTGTCTTGCCTGAATTTAAGCGTTAATAGGAAAGCTTTCCAGGTTGGGGATATTAAGAATAAATGAGTTGAGGAAGTTTGGGTTAGCATACATTCACTTATCATATCATCCTTCCCTGGATCAATATGCAATGAGTGGGATAAAACCCTCATCTCCTGGCTTCCCCTTGGAGAAGGAAAAAGCTGGAGTGTGCATCCAGAATTTCAACTTTTCCCAGTCAGCCTGACGGACTGTTTTCTGTCTGACCGGATACTCTTCATGTCTGAGGACTGCTGAGAACAAAAGAGAGCTAGGGGGTTATAGCAACTCCAGATAACCTACAGTACTACAGATAGATAACAAAGAGAGCAAGAGATTACATGCTCCTGAAGAAAGACCTGCAAATTTTTCTCAGAATTTACACACAATTTCAGAGACAATACATTCACAGAAAGATTTGACACACTTCAGAATCTCTAACTGGGCTGACTGGTGAAAGGATTTCCCAGTGCAAAACCAGTCTGTAAAGACAAGGAGAAGTGGTTATTTTTTTCAAATCCTAGAATCACAACACAAAATTAAAAGGCACACAAGGAAACAGGGAAACATGGCCTAATAAAAGGAAGAAAATAAGTTTCCAAATATCAACCCTTCAAAAATGGAGGTATATAAATTATCTGGCAAAGTGACATATCCTGACAAATTCTCCAGGATAGATCAAATGTTAGGTCACAAAGCGAGTCTTAACAAAATTAAGACAAAGAAAATCAAGAACCTGTTTTGACCAAAAGTAGGATGAAGCAAAAATTCAATAGTAGAAGGAAAACGGAAACATTTACAAATATATGGAAATTAAACAACATACTATTGAACAACCAATGAGTCAAAGAAGAAATCAAAAAGAATATTAGAAAACAAGCTGACAAAAAAATAAAAAAACACAACATAGCAAAACTTAGAAATGCAGCAAAGGCAGTACTAAAGAGGGAAATTTATAGCAATAAATGCCTACCTTAAAAAAGAAGAAAGATCTCAAATAAACAACCTAACTTTACAACTCAAGGAACTAAAAAAAAGAACCAAGCCCAAACCCAGCAAAAGGAAGGAAATAATAAAGATTAAGCAAATAAAGGATATTTTCACACACATATTTTCATTATAACCAGAAAGAACCAATGCAAGTGAATAGATTAAAAAAAAAACTGTGGTATTACTATACAATGGAATATGGCAATTAAAAAGAGAAAAGACTCAACCAAATAAAATTAAAAATGAAAAAGTAGACATTGTAATTGATGCCACAGAAATAAAAAAGATTATTAGAGACTGCTGTGAATGATTATGGTAATAATTGGATAACCTAGAAAAAAATCAAATTACTAGAAATATACAACAAACAACACTGAATCAAAAAGAAATACAAAATATGAACAAATCTATAGCTAGTAAGGTGTTTAAATTAGTACTCAAAAATCTTCCAAGAAAGAAAATCTCAGGTGCAGATGACTTTACTAGAGAATTCTGCCAACATTTAAGGAAGAATTAATGCCAATATTTCTCAAACATTCCTAAAAAGTTAAAGAAGAAAGAACTATTCTAAACTCTTTTTGTGAAGCTAGTATAACCCTAATATCAAAGCCAGACAATGGTGCTACAAGAAAAAAAAATTAAATATTCCTAATGAATGTAGATGCAAAATCCTCAACAAATACCAGTAAATTGAATTCAACAGCACTATAAAGTATCATCCACCATAATTATGATGGATTTGTTCCTGGAATGCAAGAAGGGTTCAACATGTGCAAATCAATATAATATGCCACATTAACAAAATAATTCAAATAACGTGTTCATCTCCGTAGATGGAGAAAGATCATTTGATGAAATTCAACATTCTCTCATTAGAAAAACACTTGAAAAAATAGGAATAGAAAGAAATTATTCCAACAGAATAAAGGCCATATGTAAAAACCCACATTTCACACCATATTAATGAAGAAAAACTGAAATCTCTTCTTCTAAGATCAGGATCAGGAACAAGGCAAGGACACCTTTATGAAGTACATAAAGTCCTAGATAAAATAATTCAGCAAGAAAAAGATATAAAGGCATCCAAATTGGAAAGGGAGAAGTAAGTAAAATTTTTTCTATTCCCAGAAAACATCATCTTATATATTAAAAAAACCCTAAAGATTCAACAAAAAGCTCTTAGAACTAATAAAATTAATTCAGCAAAGTTGCAGGATTCAAAGTAAAGATTCAAAAAAACACAAACAGCAAACATTCTGAAAAGGAAATTAAGAAAACAATCCATTTGCAATGGCATCAAACTGAATAAAATACTTTGGAATAAACTTAGCCGGTGGGGGAAAGACTTGTACACTGAATACTGCAAAATATTGCTGAAAGAAATTAAGGAAGACACAAATAAATGGAAAGCTATCTCATTTTTGTGAATTCAAAGAATATTTTTAAATTCTAATACTAGCCAAAGCAATTTACAGATTTGATGTAATCCCTTGGAATTGTATAAATTCCAATGATAATTTTAGAGAAATAGAAAGGACAATTCTAAAATCCATATGGAACCACAATGGACCCTGAATATCCAAAACAATCCTAAGAAAGAGAAACAGTTAGAGGCCTCACATTTTCTGACTTTGAAATATACTACAAAGCTACAGCAATCCCAATAGTGTGATATTAATGTAAAACTAATCATATAGATGAATGGAACAGAATGGATTATTGGAACAGAATAGAAAGCCCACTGGGAGGCCAAGGCGGGCAGATCACCTAAGGTCGGGAGTTCAAGACCAGCCTGGCTAACATGGTGAAACCCCGTCTCTATGAAAAAATACAAAAATTAGCTGGGCATGGTTATGGGCACCTGTAATTCCAGCTACTTGGGAGGCTGAGGTAGGAGAATCGCTTGAACCCAGGAGGAACAGGTTGCAGTGAGCCAAGATCACACCACTGCACTCCCACCTTGGTTACAGAGCAAGACTCCATCTCAAAAAGAAAGAAAGAAATAAGAAAGAAAGAAAGAAAGAAAGAAAGAAAAAGAAAGAAAGAAAGAAAGAAAGAAGGAAGGAAGGAAGGAAGGAAGGAAGGAAGGAAGGAAGGAAAGCAAGCCCAGAAATAAACCCACATGCATATAGTCAAATGATCTTTGATGAGGGTGCCAAAACTATACAATGGAGAAAGGATAATTTCTTCAACAAATATTGTTGGGAAAACTGGATATCCATATGCAAAAGAATGAAAGTGAACCGTTATCTTAAAACTGTTCACAAATGTTAACTCCAAATGGATTGAAGACTTAAATGTAAGAACTAAAGCTGTAAAACTACAAGAAAACATAAAGAAAGGCTTTATCACATTGGTCGTGGCAATAATTCCTTGGATTTGATACCAAAAGCACAGGCAACAAAAGCAAAAATAGGTTAGGGTGATTACATCAAGATAAAATGCTTCTGTGCAAAAAAGGAAACAACAGAGTGAACAGGCAGCCTATAGAATTGGAGAAAATATTTGAAAACCGTATATGTGCTAAGGGCTTAATATCCAAAATATATAAGAAACACCTAGAACTCAAAAGCAAATAAACACATAACCCAATTTTAAAATGGCCAAATTCTTAAATAGATATTTTTCAGGAAGACATGCAAATGACCAACAGGGATATAAAAAGATACTCAACATCATTAATCATCAGGGAAATGCTAATTAAAATCACAACGGGATTTATCACCTCATAACTGTATGACCATTTTAAAAAAAAGAAAATAGCAAGTGTTGATGAAGATGTGGAGAAATTGAATTAGAACCTTATGTACTGTCAGTAGGAATGTAAAATGGTAGAGCCACTATGGAAAACAGTATGGAGGGTCCTCAAAACATTAAAAAATAGACCTACCATATGATGCAGCAATCCCACTTGTGGGCATTTTTCCAAAATAATTGAATAATTCCAAAATAATTGAAAACAAGATCTTGAAGTGATATTTGCATTCCCATATTCATTACAGAATTATTCACAATAGCCAAAAAGTAGAAACAATCTAAAAGTCCATCATCAAATGAACAGATGAAGAAAATATGGTATATGTGTGTGTGTGTATATATATATATATATATGTATGGTATATATATGTATGGTATATATATGTATGGTGTATATATATATATGTATGATAAATATAGTATGGCATATATATGTATGGTGTATATATATGGTATATTTATGTGTATATATACATACACACACAGAATGGAATATTAGTAAGCCTTCAAAAGGAAAATTCTGTCTTATTTCAACATGTATCAATCTTAAGGATATTGTGCTAAGTGAAATAAGCCAGACACAAACACAAATATATCGTGATTCCATTTATATGATGTATTGAAAGTAGCCAAACACATGGAAACACAAGATAAAATGGTAGTTGTCAGGGCCTGGAGGAAACAGGAAATCTGGAGTTGCTGTTCACCAGGTGTAGAGTTTCAGTCAAGCAAGATAAAAACATTCTAGATTTCTGCTGTACAACAATGTGTATATCATTAACAAAATGTTCTGCAAACTTAAAATTTTGTTAAGATGGTAGATTTTTTTGTTATGTGTTTTTTAATTACAAAAATTTCTGTCTGTATTTAGTTTACATTTTAGTAAGGAAAGACAAATAAGCTAATAAATGGTAATGATAAATGCTGTAAGGATATCTAGAGCAATAAAAGAAGTTATGGATATGGGAGTATAATTTTAGATAGTGAAGATTTCTGTATTCAAATGCCACATGGAAAAAGGACTAAGGGGAATGAGGAGATGAGTCATATGGAATGCCCAAGACACAGAAAAAGGCAGGCAGAGAAAATAACAAGGATAAAGACACTGAAGTAAAATCATGCTTTCTATATTTCAAAACAGCAGCAAGTACACTACTGTGATAGAGCAGGAGTGACCAATGGGAGGCTGGAGATTTTGTCAGAGATATTGTCAAGGCTCAGGATCGTACAGGGACTTGTAAGCCTGGAAAGCACTTTGAATTTTATTCAGAATGAGATGAGAAGCCATTGAAAAGTTTTTAAGCAGATGCGTAAAATAATCCACCTTGTATTTTAAGAGGAGCATTCTACCTTCTCTGTGGAATAGAGAGGTGGAAGGGAAAGCTTGAAGCAGAGAGAACAGTGAAGAGTGTACTGTAATATTCTTATGTGAGAAATAGTGGAGGGAATGAGAGGTGGTCAGCCTTAAACTGCCATTTGCTCTCTGTATCAGGGCTCAGGGACTTTCAGACTCTCCAGGGATTCCTTACAGTTTTTACATTCGTTTCTCAGTTGCAAACATAATCTCTTCACTCTATGAGAACTCTAGATCTGAATCCTTGTTATGAGTCAGGAGTCCTCTCTAGTTTACTCTCTTGTCAGTAACTAGACTTGAAATGTTTTGATATTAATTGATATAGTAATAAGATTGGTTAGAGAAATAGCAAAGAGAGAGCATCCCCATCCTATGACCATATCAGCACCAGAAGAGAAAAACACATCTACACAGTTTTTCCCTTGGCATAGGTCTTGGTATTCTGTTAGGGAACAGGTTATGAAGGAAATACAAAGGGTCTTTGTACTTACTTTCAGAATGTATTTTCTTTAACATGAAAAGAATCCAAGGCCTTTTTGCTTCTAATTGCTTTTTGTGTATCTACTACCATCCCTTGCTAAATTATTGATAGGTTTCCTCAAATCTCGGCATGATGTCCTACATTCTAAATTTTCAATAGCTGAAAATTTCACCTTTTCAGTGCCTTCAAGTTTATCTCAGTAAAAAGTTGAGAAAGACTGTAATAGAGTTATTTAATCAGATTTTTTTCATCTACCATAATTTTTGAATAAGGAAAAACAGCAATACTTTTTCTCCTTACTTGGCAAGTAATTTTCATAGAGAGGAAAAAAACAATCAAAACAGGTACAAAATGTAACAAAACCAAAGGACCATGTGAGGTGAAATTTAAAATGAGAAAAATGTCCACAGTACTTTGGGCAATGCGACTCCTGGGAAATAGTAACTCAGCACCTGAGAGCTAAATAATTCTACAGGACTAAATATATATTCTGGTACTCAAGGGGAAAATGACATCATATAGAGTTTAGGTCTATTAAAACATATTTGTAGATGTGTAGGTATGAAAAATGCTTTTAGAGATGGGAAGAGAAAAAAACTCATTTGTTTAACAAGTTCTGATGGGTGCTTTTCACTAAAAGAGAAACATCATATGTTTATAACACTCAGGATGTAAATTGCGGTACATTTCAAATTACATGAGAAACTAAAGAAAATATCTGTTTCGGGTCACTGAATAATTCATTCTTATTTTGTGTTTGTCCCTAATTTCTGTGATTTTATGAATAATTCAGAGCAATGATTTTACCTTTCTCTACAGCTGTATTTGGTAAATGTCCACATTATTTTTGTTGCAAAGATGCAGCCAAGTTTCTTAGAATAGGAACAATGTTTAGAATGTATTTTTTCCATAATGAAAAATATTATGAAAGGGGAAACTAAGATATAGCTTACAGGGTTCTCTATTGTGATAACTAAAACATACTTAGCCTCAAGTAAAACTGACATCTTGCTAACTGTTGGTGGTGAAGGAGAAAGAAGACAACACTGAACCAGACTGGGGAAAGATGAATTCAAATTAGTTAGAGATTTGTCACCCAAAGCAAAACAAATTCAAGCTTGAACTGAGTTGACATTGGTAGTTATTATGAACTGCAAATCCCTCAAATTCATATGATGAAATCCTAACTCTCAATGTATTGGTATTAGGAGGTAAACCTTTGGGAGGTAATTAGGTCATGAAGATGAAACCCTCATCAAAGGAAAGTAGTGCCCTTCTAGAAAGAGATACAAGAGAGATTTTTCTCTCCTCCATGTGAGGATAAAATAAGACAGCCATCTGTAAACCAGGAAGACAGCCTTCACCAAGAACCCAACCATGCTGACTCCCTGATTTCAGATTTACAGCCTACGGATCTGTGAAAAACAAATGTTTATTGTTTTACTCAATCTGTGTTTTCCGTTATAGCAGCCCACATTGACTAAGAAAATACTAAACCCTTTATTTGATAGATAAAGATAGTATCAGACAAGGTATCATATGAGTAAAAACCTAAGATTTATGTGTGATCATTTTACATTGGAGCAGCTACTGAAACTTGAGACCAAAACCACTAGCTAACATCAGTATGTCAACCCAAAACATTTGGGACAGTAATGAAGATACAGCAAATGAATTGTTTTAATATATAATCAAGTCAAAGTTATCCTCAGAATTATAGGAAAAAATCCACTAAATTTGGTTTATGAGAAATTCATGGTTCATTGTATACCTTGATACTGGGCTTAAAGCAGCAATCCTAATTCCAGATCTACCTTCAAGTCTGGGTCAGTGTTCTCAAATGCTGCCAGTTTCATGTCAGGACCGGCTTAATATTGAAGGTAACTGAGCATTGCTAATGTCTGACTGGAGCTGAAAGAGGCCAAAAGCAGGGTTATAACTTTGGGAAAACTGACCTGGTGTTAACTTCCATGCCTTCCATTTCAAACGGGAAGGTATCACAATTAGAAGCTATTAACAGTCTTATCTAATAAATTGTGGATAATTTCTTTTTTTTTTTTCTTTTTTTTTAAGAGTCAGGGTCTCACTCTGTCACCTAGGCTGGAGTGCAGTTGTGCAATTGTTACGGAATCTTTGGGGTGTCGATTTTCTGGTTTGGAAACTGTGGTTGGTGGCATCTTTGCCCGAGTTCTTGTCCTGCTTCCAGGAAGAATGGTGTAGGTAGACAAGTGAAGGGTTAAAGGAGAGGAGCTTTATTAGGTGTTAGAACAGCTCAGAGGAGACCCATAGTGGGTAGCTCCTCTCTAGGTTGTTCTGTCAAGTGTTCAGCTCTCAGGAGAAAGGGAAACCCTGGAGAGGTTTGCTCCTGTCTGCAGCTGGTAGTTCCCAGACATCTCTGCAGGTCTCTGAAGCATTCAGCAGAGAAAACAGCTGGCCCTCCCATTGTCTCCAGCTATCAGCAGAAAGGATAGCTCCTTCCTGCCTCTAATCTTCCCTCCTCTGTCTTCTGCCCTGTTCTGGCTGAGTCCTGGGCTTTTATGGATGTCAGAGGGGAGGAAATGTATGCCCATTGGTCCATGGGCAGCCATGGGCGGGCCCAGGAAAAAGCACCATGAGTTTTGCCTCCAGTCTGCAGGACTGGCAGCCTAGCCTGCAGGTGGGGCTTCACTGGGGACTCATCACCTTCCACCCAGGAGCCTGTCTGCCTCCCACAACCATCCATGGCACCCAGGCTGCTGGCATCAAGGGGCACTTGCAGGCCAGTGCCAAGCCACCCTCGGACCCCCTCATCTTCCCCTCCCATGCTCCTGCTTCTCAGTGTTCAAAGTCCAGAAGGGGCTGAGGTGGCAGGGGACTGGCATGTCAGCAGTGCTTCCAATTTGTGCACACCTGGCTGGGCAGTGACAGCACCCTGCTGGGTCCCAACCCCACTCTATGATCAGAGCACAGAGCCAGGAGGTGGGAGAGACCAGGCAGCAGGAAGAGGTGCCTCCAAGCCTGCAAGGGGCAAGGGGGGCGTTCCCAGGCTCCCCAAGAGTGCAGGGATGCCTGAGTCTGCAGCATTGGTTTGGGTGGCTGGGTGGTGGGCTGGGGTGGGGACAGAGTAGGGGAGTTGGATAAACTCCCGTCTGCTCCATGGAGTGGGAGGTCCAGGTCTACAGCTACAGCTGCAGTTTGGGCAGCTGCAGCAGCACCCAGGGAGCTCCCATTCCAACTCGGAAGGGCAGGGCTCCCACTTGTCCTCATCCTGCCAAATCCAGGGAGCATACAACCCCGGCCACACCTCTCCCCTGCAGCTGGCATGATGGCAGCAGCCACTGCCATCACAATCACAGCCTATTGTAGCCTCAAACTCCTGGGCCCAAGTGATCTTTTTACCTCAGTCTCCCCAATGGCTGGGGCCACAGGCATGTGCCATAATGCCCATCTAATTGTTTTTTTATTTTTGTAGAGAAGGTGGTCTGGCTATATTGCCCAGGTTAATCTCTAATTCCTGGATTTAAGCAGTCTTCCTGCCTCATCCTCCTACATGGCTGGGATTACAGGCAAGAGCGACTGTGCCCAGCTCCTGATAAATCCTTTCTTAATCAAAGTCTTCATCAGCAGCCTTACTTACCACAATCTTCCCAGATGATCTCAAGTATCCAAGGAAACTAAAAGTAGCTACTGCTGACAAAACTGTTGGGTTCCCTGATACTGTGCAAGAATAAAATGATGCTAGGTCTTCTGTTAGCTAGCTCTTCTTCTGTAACAGTCTCTTTCTATGTATTAATCAAAACTGATGCAACTTTTTAAAGAACTATTCCTAGAAACTTTCTCCCTTCCCAGTCACAATTAATGTATTATTTATACATTTAAAGGACTATATAAGTAGGACATGCTTTGGGTATATAACAGCACTTACGGCCATTTACTTTGTGGTTCAGTGATTTCTGTGTGCTTCTGACTTGTATATACTTTCAGCCCTTGTAGATGTAGTGGTGGTAGTTTTCCCAACTTAAATTTGTCTTTATCATCCACCTTTATCCACAGTCCTCCTCATGATTAGCACATTGTCAATAAATACTTACTAAGCTGAACTGAAAGTTTTTATTACACATAAATACTAAGATGTCCATGTCCATGGTCATGCAGGACAGCAGAAGATAATTTTTTTTACCAGTGTATCTATTGCTAACAATTGCTTCAAGGTCAGGAGCCAACTCATGTATTAGACATGTAAATCTTGTGAAAATATTCATATTGGAAACAGCATGTAGCAAGTGCAAACAGAACTAAATAAATCCTTTAATTTATCACAGTCCCTTCGAAGTATGAATTCTTCTTCTAGCATTACATCAAATTTGATAAAATCCAAAAATATTTTATCTCAATGTTTTAAAAGTGTTGATGCTGTATACATTGAGTTATTGTACAATTGGATGGAACCCACATTCAAAGTTTTTCTTCAATGTTAAAATTAAATGGTTCTCTCTGTGATTCCTTCTGTTTGCAGTTCTTCTCATTTCATTGTTAGAATTTGCCTCTACAAATGTAATTCATTTGGCATTGCAGACGTTCTGATCTTTTCAAATGTGTATTTTGACAGGTGCCTCATACATTCATCCTTGGTTTGTGCTGTGGGCCTAAAGTTTATATCTCTCCAAAACTCATATATTGAAATCTAATTCCCAGTATGTTGGTGTTAAGATGTGAGGCCAGGCTGGACACAGTGGCTCACACCTGTAATCCCAGCACTTTGGGAGGCCGAAGTGGACAGATCATGAGGTCAGGAGTTCAAGACCAGCCTGGCCAACATGGTAAAACCCCATCTTTACTAAAAATACAAAAATTAGCCAGGTGTGGTGGCACACGCCTGTAATCCCAGCTACTCGGGAGGCTGAGGCAGGAGAATTGCTTGAACCTGGGAACCAGAGGTTGCAGTGAGCTGAGATTGTGCCACTGCACTCCAGCCTGGGCAACAGAGCAAGACTCCATCTCAATAAATAAATAAATAAATAAATAAATAAATAGGGGCGGTCTTTGGGATGTGAGTAGGTTAAGGGGGTTGGGGAGCCGTCATGAATGGGTTAGTCCCCTTATAAAAGAACCCATAGGGAGCTACTTTGCCCCTTTTGCCCTTATGCCATGTGAAGATGCAGCAGTAAGTTTGAGAAACAAACCTCACCAGGTAACAACTCTGCTGGCACCTAGATCTTGGACTTCCCAACCCCCAGAACTGAGAATAATAAATTTGGTTTATAAATTACCCAGTCTAAGGTAATTTGTTACAGCAGTCCAAATGGACTCAAACAGGTTGTAAACACTTGAAAAATGAGTATCTGTATTGAATCGCATATTTTAGCCGTAGTTTGCTTGTAGGAGTACAGCCTATGGCCAAAGAATTAATAGCTGACTCTCATTTGAATGGCCAAGATTTGCTCTCTATTTCCAGTATTTTATTTTTGTGCCTGTATGTTGGATACAGGCAAATTTTTACACAATAAACCAGAAAAGTTCAATAGTCTTTCATTCTCTGCTTTCACTAACTTCTTTTAAGTATATTTCAACAATTATCTTAATATTATCACCAGTAGATTAAGCGTACTGTTATAAACACTCTTTCTATTTATTCAAAGCTTGAATTGAGCTAGCTGCTAATAACATTTTTTTAATTAGCATTGCAACCATATTCACCTACCATATTTTTCCCTCTCCTTTGATTTCTGGGCCATTACTCACTTTCACAATTTGTATGTGACTCACCATTCTATACCTACTTTTGCCTTACCTTAAAATATTTTTTGATTTAATACATTTACATTTTTTCTCCTTTTGCTTTTGGAATTGTCTTACTATCACGGGGAGTTTTCTTTTCCTTTTTCAAGAGTTTCTCAAAATTCTTGACCAAAGCCCTATCCCCTGAAGTGAGTAATATTCTTCACTATATTACCGCATCACATGTTTACATCAGGCTAAAGTAAGAAACACTACTCGTGTTCTGTAGCTAATTGATAATTGTTAAAATAAACAACAATTGATAACAAATTATAGAAAATGATTATTTTAAGGTTCTTTATACTTGTAATCTTTGTAAATAATATGAGTTATCACCTCTTTCTGTAGCTAATTGTATAGGGAGCACACCCAGTTAGTGGCATATTTCTTAACACATTTCTGATATCAAGAATAACAAATACAATGCAGTGGGGAGTGGAGAAAAGAAATTAAGTGTGGCTACATCTGCAAGTAACAATTGCAGCCACTTTGTCAAGGGTTAAACAATCGTCAATGAGCTATACACATTGTTTGTCACCAGAATAACTGAATCAAGAGGTTCCAACTCATTGTTTCATTCCCATATACCTGAACATCTGGGACATGAAGAAATAGTGTGTATGTGTTAATAGGCAAAGCTGTAGTAATGACTTCTACATATTGGAAGCAGTTATCTATTTTCCTGTTACTATCTAATTTTTACACAAAAATACCTCAGATGAATATTGACAGAAACTCAGAAAGAAGTATGGCATAAACTAATATGAAGGTAACGTAGTAATGGCAGAAAGTTACAGCTTAAAAGTTTTTACAGTGGGAAGACTATTGTAATAGTGAGAGCCATGTATAAGTTTGTTTTGAAATGATAATGTACAGCTAAAGAGTATAATGCTCGAATTTTTGTATATGAAGTTTTCGTAATTCAACAAGTAGGGTTAAGAGACAATAAGAATTACACAGAATGTTGGATTTTATTTCACGTCTGTTCCTCTTGTCAGACATTGCCATCTTTCCCCTGTTTCGTCAGGTCTTCAGTAAGTTAACAACATTCACTCTGTGAAAAGTACCACATGATTTATTGTATAAATATAATTGGAAATACACTGTGGTTCCTCATATCCTCAAGCTTATAATTCAGTTTGGAGACTACACTATATAAATGTAGAAATGCCATAATTATGCTTATAAATTGATTTTTTAAAACATGCAAATTAATTTGGTAGAAACTGAATACATAAGTACGGGGGTGCCATATAAAATAATGATCAATGCCAGTGGGATTAATCAAAGAAAGTTTCTTGGGGAAGTGAATTCTAAACAGAATTTGGTATATTTGTTTATTTAGCACTCATTTTATGTTTTCTAATTATAAATATAACGTATTCTCATATTCTCAAGGTAATAAATTTGCAAATTTTAAATTAGTAGGAAGAGTAAAAGGAACTAAGATCCCACTGTCCAAAGGTAATCATTATTCAGGTTCTGTTCTTTTCCTTCCATTTGGTTCTCTGATATTTTCTTCATGGTTGCCATTACATCACATATTCAATATTATGACCCAGTTTATGTTTCAGTCAGTGTCTATACATACAACTTTGAATGATACAAATGTCTCATAGAAACTAAGTTTAATCAAATCAAGAAACTAAGTTTAATGCCAGTCTATATCAATGTACCGTTTCCTTCTAGCTAAATATTTAGGCTTTTCCAAATTTTGTTAACATAAATAACTCCAAAGGTATTTTTATTAACATTTTCTCTTAGTGTTACTTTCCTAAGGTAGACTTTAACAATTTACTATAATAAATTATAGAAAATGATCATTTTAAGGTTCCTTATTCTTGTACTATTTGTAAATAATGTTATCACCTCTTTCGAATTATTTCTTCTTGATATTTTATTGCATTGATCAGAATTCCCAGAATTGTAATATAATGTTAATTATTAAATATTACATTACTTCTCATGTTAATAGTTATTATTTTGTAAATATGATGCTATTAGCAAATTTTAGATTGGCATCCTTAATATACTATTCAGATGTTAGCAATTGCACTTTTCCCTAAAAAGGCTCTTTTTGCGGCTTTTTGTCCCCGCCATGGCTTTTTACGGCTTTTTGCCGCCGCGGTATTTTGCCCCCGCCGCCGTGGGTTTCAGTCCCCGCCGCCGCGGCTTTTGGCCCCCGCCGCCACGCTTTTGACAACGCGGCTTTTTGCCCCCGCCGCCGAGGCTTTTTGCCGCCGTGGCTTTTTACCCCAGCCGCCGCTGTTTTTTGCGACTTTTTCCCCCCGCCGCCGCGGCTTTTTGCTGCATTTTCCCGCCGCCGCCGCCGCTTTTTGCCGCCGCCGCCCTCGCGGCTTTTTTTGCCCCCGCTCCAGATGGTTTTTGCCCCCACCACCGCGGCTTTTTGCCCGCGCCGCCGGGGCTTTTTGCCGCCGCGGTATTTTGCCCCCGCCGCCGCGGCTTTTGCGGCTTTTTGCTCCCCGCCGCCGTGGCTTTTTGACACCGCCGCCGCGGCTTTTGCCGACAGGGCTTTTTACCCCCCGCTGCCGCGGCTTTTTGCCCGCGCCTCCGCGGCTTTTTGCGCCCCGCCGCTGCGACTTTTTGCTCCCCGCCTCCGCGGCTTTTTGCGCCCCGCCGCCGCGGTTTTTGCCAACGCGGCTTTTTACCCCCATCACTGCGGCTTTTTACTCCCCGCTGCCGCGGCTTTTTGCCCCCGCCGCCACGGCTTTTTGCTGCCGTGGCTTTTTGCTCCCGCCGCCGCCGGTTTTTGCCGCCGGGGCTGTTTGCCCCCGCCATCGCGGCTTTTTGCCCCCATCGCTGCGGCTTTTTGCACCTTTTTCCCCCGCCGCCGCGGGTTTTGCCGACGCGGCTTTTTACCCTCACTGCCACGACTTTTTGCGCCCACCGCCACGCCTTTTTTGCCCCGGCCGCCAAGGCTTTTTGCCACCGCGGCTTTTTTCCCCCCCGCCGCAGCTTTTTGTGTTTTTTTGCCCCCGATGCTTTCGGCCCGCGCCGCCGCGGCTTTTTGCCCCCGCCCCCGACGCCGCGGCTTTTTGCCGCCGCCGCCACCGGCACGGCTTTTTGGCCGCGGCGGCTTTTGGCTCCCCGCCACCGCGGTTTTTGCCAACGCGGCTTTTTACCCCCATCGCCGCGGCTTTTGCCGACGCGGCTTTTTACTCCCCGCCGCCGCGGCTTTTGGCCGCCGCGTCTTTTTGCCCCCGCCGCCGCGGCTTATTGCTCCCGCCACCGCGGGTTTTTGCCGCCGAGGCTTTTTGACTCCGCCGCCGCGGATTTTTACCCCCGCAACCGTGGCTTTTTGCACCTGTCGCCGCTGCTTTTTGCAGCTTTTTCCCCCACCGCCGCGGGTTTTACGGACGCGGCTTTTTGCGCCCACCGCCGCGGCTTTTTGCTCCGTGCCGCTCGTTTTTGTCCCCGCCGCCGCGGCTTTTTCCCCCAGTCGCAGCGATTTTCTGCCCCCGCCGCCACTACTTTTTGCGGCTTTTTGCCCACGCCGCCGCGGCTTTTTCCCCCACCGCCCGAGCTTTTTGCCGCCGCGGCTTTTTGCCACCGGAGCTATCAGCCCCCGCCGCCGTGGCTTTTTCCCCCGATGCCGCGGCGTTTTACCCCCGCCTCCGCGGTTTTTTTGTCCCCGCCGCTGAGACTTTTTGCCGCCATGGCTTTTTCCCCCCGCCGCCACGGCTTTTTGTGTTTTTTTTTTTTTTTGCCACCACTCCCGCTGCTTTTTGCCCCCGCCGCCGTGGCTTTTTGCCACCGCCGCGGAGGATTTTTCCCCCGGTGCTGCGGCTGTGAGGGCAGGAGCGGCAGACTCGGCTGCTAGCTCCACTGGCGTCCTGGCAAGGGCAGCGCCGAGGGGCGCTCCTGGTCCAGCTCTCCTGGCTCGGGGGTTCTTTGCCTAGGCGCCGGCGCCCCGGGCTCCCTGCCTCGGCCTCTGTGGCCTGCATAGAGCGGCGCTGCGCGCAGAGGCGATGGGAGAGAAGAAGGAGGGTGGTGGCGGGGGTGATGCGGCATTAGCGGAGGGTGGCGCAGGGGCCGCGGGCAGCTCCAGAAGCTCATTGGCATCTTCATTGGCAGCCTTCGCTGCTGGCTGGGCACCAAGTGCGCTGTGTCGAACAACCTCACCCAGCAGAAGATAACGACCCTGGAGGTAAGGGGTTCGGGGACCGGGGCTGGGCTCCAGGAGGAGCTCAGACACCTCCCTCGGGGCCCCAGTTCACTCCTGGCCCAGTTGCATCCTTGAGCCCGCATTGCGCCCTTGGAGTCTTCCCCTCCCTCCTGCATTTGCTGATGCGGCAGCAGGAGGACCCGGGACCAGCCCTCACCTTGAGCGCGATTTGTGGGGCGGGTGCGTGGTGGGAACTGGGATGGAGGGTCCAGGGTCCTGTGGGGGGGGGGTGGTGGGCTGTGCGCGGACATCCCCTTCCACCCTGAATTTCCATCTGGTCCAGCCCTCTCATCTTGTAGGTGAGGAAACCGAAGGCCTGAGGAAGAACTGACTTGCCAGGAACCCCTGTTAAGGAGAATTATCAAAGTGTGGTTATTAAAGGAGAACTGAGATGAGAGTCAGACCTGGGGGCCCACACTCTTGGTTAAGACATTATACCACCTTGAGTCTGGCCTGTTTACTGAGGGTGAGCCACTCCATCCTTGTCTGATTGTGGGGTCTTGACCTCAAGGGGTTTCCTGCAGGAAGAAGCAAATGGGTTTGCTTTCCTAGCTCTGTCCAGTATCTTAGGGACCCTGAGGACTGAAGAGATTCTTGTAGAGCCATCTGGTGTATGTCATGGGTGGGCCTTTTTTGAAGGTCAGTCTGCCCAGTGAGCTGGCTCAGCCCGAATGAACTGTCTTGAATCTTTGGAGTTGTCTGTGTACTTTTAAGGGTTTCTCATCCTTGCACCAAAAGATCCCCTGGAAATTAGGTGGGAAAACCTTAACTTTTGTGGGGCCTTTTGTTTGTCTTAAAAGTTCATGCACATGGCCAGGTGTGGTGGCTCCCACCTCTTATCCTGTCCTGGATCCCTTGAGTCAAAGAGTTTGAGACCAACCTGGACAATATAGTGAGACCCTGTCTCTACAAAAAATAAAATGTTAGCCAGGGGTGGTTGTGCACATCTGTAGTCCCAGCTACTACTGTGGCTGAGGTGGGAGGAGCACTTGATCCTGCACTGAGCTGTGAGCTCACCAGTGTACTCCAGCCTGGGCCACAGAGCAAGACTGTGACTCAAAAAAAAAAAAAAAGACATTAAAAATTCTTGAAGATTTTGCATTCTGTCCCACTATCTATTGGTTTTCATGTCAAGATAATGTCAGAAATTCTTTACAATTGCTTCCAGAAGGAGTAGACTTTTGATCTAGTGCACAGGTGTCCAGTCTTTTGGCTTCTTAGGGCCACATTGGAAGAAGAATGCTCCTGGGCCACACATAAAATACACTAATGCTAACAACAGCTGATGAGCTTAAAAAAAAAAAGGTTTTTGCATAATTTTCATGATACCCACCACCACAGATAGGCGGAAAAGTCCTTGTAGTCAAAGGGTTGGACACGGCTGATCTAGTGTCTTGTCGTCCGTTTTGGCTTTCTCCCTGATTCCAGAATGCAGGTAGAGATGTAGAGACATGCTCTCAGGACAGCTGTTGAGATAAAAAAAATTCGTTGTCATTTATTCCCAATCACAGCTGTTTCTCATTGCATTGAAAAAGTCTCCGTTCAAACTGCTGTCACATATAAAATCTATTTATGTAAGTCTGTATTTTTCTGTTGTCTTGGCCTTTGTAGGCAGTAGTGTGTTTTAACCAAGCAAACTGTCCTTCCAAATAATGAAGCCGAAGTCAGCCTACCTGCTTGCCATTTTTCTTCCCCTTCCATTTTTGTAACCTCAGAATAATTGTAAGAATGAATTAAGATTTGTGTTTAAGGCCAGGCACAGTGTATCAGGCCTGTAATCTCAGCACTTTGGGAGGCAGAGACGGATGTATCGCTTGAGCTCAGGAGTTGAAGACCAGCCTGGGCAACATACTGACACTCCGTCTTGTATAATTTAATTAAAATTTAAAAAAAGAGAAAAAGACCTGTGTTTAAAATTTAAAAAAAGGTGGGAAGTGTAATGCAAAATGTGGACTATGCCAGCTATGATTGGGAAAACTAGTTTTTCATACAGCATTATCTGTAGACTTGTATTAGCAGCATACTGGTCATAAGCATTTTGCTTTCCTCAAATATGATGAGGTAAGCTAATTTAAAGTGTGTTGGGGCTTTCTGCCGCGTGGCTCCTGGAGGTGTTGAGTCCCAATTTAGCCAATTAATTTGGGTTTGGTTTTGATATGGATAAGGGAGACCAGCTTCATTCATGGTGTACACACAGTTTTGCCAATAAGGAGAAAAAAAAAGCCACCTGAATGTTCCTACTCAGAGCTCCTACCCCACCCCCACCAAGGCCCGGGCCATTAAAAAGACTCAATGCAGCCTTTCTGTATCTCATACTGTATTCTGCAAGGTACTCCTGTGAAAGAAAGTTGTGCTGCATCAGCCATCTCCCTCCTGAAGATCCCTGCGGATGAGGATTTGTGTTTTGAAGGTTCTGAGAATTCCTGCAACAATAATTCTCAAACTTATTTGTCCAGGGGATCTTTTCTTCCACTGAATGTAGCTGGGGAGACATGGCCTTAAGCCTTGAGCAGAGAAAGAGACAACTGTTGGCTCACTTACAACCAAGTGTTGTGTTTATGTTTTAGGTTTTTATGAAACTGAGGTGCTGTTTGAGGTTCTAAATGAAATTGGGTGGTTGAAGAGAGGCTGGTGTCCCTGTAGACTTAGCCAGCCATGAGAAGTTGCCTTTTGTTGAAGGAGGTGTTTTACAAAGGGAAATAGGGTGTCTCCTGGGCATCGCATTAGCACTTAAATACATGTATCACTGAAATGAAATGATGAAATGATGAAATGATGACATGAAATGGTGAAATGAAATGAAATAATGAAGTGAAATGATGAAATGAAATGATGAAATGATGAAATGAAAAGATGAAATGATGAATTGAGGAAATGATATGAAATGATGAAATGAAATGATGAAATGAAAAGGTGTAATGAAACGAAATGATTAAATGAAATGAGATTAAAAGATGAAATGATGAGATGAAATGAAATCATGAGATGAAATGATGAGATGAAGTGAAATGATGAAATGTAATGAAATGATGAAATGGAATGATGAAATGGTGAAATGAAATGAAAAGATGAAATAATGAATTGAGGAAATGATATGAAATGAAATGAAATGATGAAATGAAATGAAAAGGTATAATGAAACAAAATGATTAAATGAAATGAGATTAAAAGATGAAATGATGAGATGAAATGAAATCATGAGATGAAATGATGAGATGAAGTGAAATGATGAAATGTAATGAAATGATGAAATGGAATGATGAAATAAAATGATGAAATGGTGAAATGAAATGAGGAAATGAAATGATGAAATGAAATGATGAAGTGAAATGAAATGAGAAGATCAAATGGTGAAATGAAGAAATGATATGAAATGATGAAATGATGAATTGAAGTTAAATGATTAAATGATGAAATAATGAAATGAAATGATGAAATGACGAATTGATGAAATGAAATGATCAAATGAAATGACGAGATGAAAAGATGAAATGATGAAATGAAATGAGATGAAAAGATGAAATGAGATGATGAGATGAAATCATGAGATGAAATGATGAGATGAAGTGAAATGATGAAATGATGAAATGACGAAATGCAACAATGAGAAGAAATGCTGAAATGAAATAATGAAATGAAACGATGAAATGATGAGATGGAATGATGAAAGGATGAAATGAAATGATGAAATGAGGAAATGAAATGATGAAATGAAATGAAGTGAAATGATGGAATGAAAAGATGAAATGATGAAATGATATGAAATGATGAAATGATGACATGACGTCAAATGATGAAATGATGAAATGATGAAATAAATGAAATGATGAAATGATGAGATGAAATGAAATCATGAGATGAAATGATGAAATGAGATGAAGTGAAATGACGAAATGAAATGTTGAGATGAAGTGATGAAATGAAATGATGAAATGAAACAATGAAATGAAGTGAAATGAGATGAAATGATGAATTGATGAAATGAGATGAAAAGATGAAATGATGAAATGAAATGATGAGATGAAATAAAATCATGAGATGATGAAATGATGAGATGAAGTGAAATGATGAAATGAAATGAAATATTGAGATGAAATGATGAAATGAAATGAAAGAATGAGATGAAATGATAAAATGAGATGAAATGACGAGATGAAATGATGAAATGAAAGGATGAAATGAAAGGATGAAATGAAATGATGAAATGAGATGAAATGAGGAAATGAAATGATGAAATGAAATGAAATAATGAAATGATGAAATAGATGAAAAATACTTATCCATTTTTTTTCTTGGCATCCTTCTAAGAGTATTTTAGTGTGGTTAATTTCTAAAAATAAATTGCTATTCAATGGCTATACAGTTGGCCTTTGCTCCACAGGGGTTTGAACTGTGCACGTCCACTTAGCAAAACCAACAATTCTACATCCTTATCCACACCCTGCCCATGAAAAGGATGAGGATGAAGACCTGTTTGATCATCTACTTCCATTTAATAATTAGTAAATATATTTTCCTTATGATTTTCTTTTTTCTTTTCTCTGGCATGTTTGTTAAGAATACAGTATATAAGACATATAACATATTAAATATGGGTTAATTGACTGTTATTTGTAAGGCTTAGAGTAGTCTATTAGTAGTTAAGTTTTGGGGGAGTCAAAGTTATAGTGGATTTTCTACTGTGCAGGGGGGCCAGCACCCCAACCTCCGTGTTGCTTAAGGGTCAACTGTACATGTTATTTCCTTTCCTGTAAGAGAAAAATGATGAGAAGGTCTTTTCTCCAATAAGTGTATTCAAAATGTAGCAGATTTGAAATGTGTTGGCGCCACCATTTTGCGTCTCACTTTGAAAACTTATTATTTAAAATCGTACTAAAGCCTACCTTACTTTTCCAACATTAGAAAAAATGTTACAAAGAAAAGGGGTGAAACCATGCTAGTTTGCCCTGAAATTTGAACTTATCTTTTAAAAATATATTTTTACATTAATGACTTCCAAAATAGAGATCAGTTGCATACAAATGGCAGGTCACCGTAATCCACCCTATGGCTGCACTTAGATTCATGAGGAATTGTGCCAACTAGAAAGGGCAGAGAAGAGGAATAGGGTGCTCTGCGTCTTGAAATATAAACAGGCACATAGCCACATGCTTTGATTCTCTTGTCACTTTGTACTTACAGCTAGGAAGAGGGCATGTTTGTGTATTTTTATGCTAATTATTATCCAAATTGTTAGTGATTTACGCTTTCAGAACCATATAAAGATTTTTTCCTTTCAGATATAAACTATCTTGCATTGTTCTTCTGATCATATGAGGAATAAATTTGCCTAAATATTCTTCAGACCATAATATTATGTCCATATAAATGCCAGTAGCAAGAGTAGAATCAACCACAACTGCCTTTGTAATTATTTAAAGCACGTGTGCCTATAATTGGCATTTTATATAATCAAGAATCTTTGATATAATAATCTCTCAACTATTTGAAACATGGCTCACATTAATTTTTTATGCAAACATATATATAATATCATTGTATATGAAACTAAATTTTCGACTTTAGGACAGCTTCTTAGAATCCTGACTTAAATGTCTACAGTAATATTTGACTTAAAAAAATTTAGCACACTGTCACTATGATGAAAAAAATTACTATAAATTTATTTAAAAAAATTTTCCACCCTAACATTTAGAATATTCTCACATTCGTGGTTAAAACCTAATGTGATTGTTCTTAGAATTTAGATAAAAAAATGTTCCAGAAAGTTTGAAGAGAAGCACTTTAGTCAATTTTTAGTTGTTGAAGCATGAAGAAATGGCATTTCATTGACATTTTAAAAATTATTCAGATTCCCTCTTTGAATTCAAGTGTTTCAGAGATATCTTATTTTAAAATACCAAAATAGGAATAGAATATGAAGGGCTGGTTATGAGTAATATGATACACATTTATGAGAGGATGAGATTACAATAACAATACCTCCTCTCATAGAATAGCCAGCAAGTCTCCACTAAATAACAGTGTCTTGATTTTATAGATGTTTAATCATGGATATTGAGTTAATGTGAACCATTTGTAGACACAGGAGTTTATTAAAGAATTATATAATATCTTCCAAGTATTTAGAATAGTGTTGAAATTAAGCCTGCATCCCCACGATTTTCAGCGGTGCTGATGCCTAATAAACAACCCCTTGCATGCCAAAATTGGCTTAAAGGTCATCTGTTACCCAAGCTACACTTCAAGCATCAAGGTTCAAAAATGTGATTTTAAATATGCAAGAGTTTGAGGAATTCACTACTCACACGTTCTTGAACAGTCTATCCAAGTGCATCAAGCACAATGTGAGTAAAGAAATTTTGACCAAAGGATTGATAGTAATGTTGAATACATTTAATAGTAGATCTAAGATTAAAAGGTGAAAGTGAGGGTGAGAAGAGTGTATGAATGTTTTGTGTTCTGACAAAGAGAATGTAGCACCCAGGTCCTACCTGCTTGGAGGCATTGCCAGTGCCCACGGTAGGCCATTTTATCCAGGTTTTTAGGTTTTGTTTTGTTTTGTTTTGTTTTTTTCTTTTCAGGAGAGTTAGTCCAAGACCAATAACTCCATAACTGGTAGATTTGGAAGACTTTAATACTGCTTAACATTTTGTACATAGCTTTATAACAGTTTTCTTTTTCTTTTTTTCTGAGAGATTCTTTTCAATATAACCCATCATGGTTGAACTAAAAAACAATGCTTATTTAAAATCTACAACTGCTGACGTTTTGTAACGTTCGCATTCCAGGTAATTGGTTTTTTGTGCATTTTCTGTATTTTTCTCCATTAGTCTACCTAGATATTTGTTAGATTTAATATTTTAATATTTTTCTGAAAAAGTGAGCTTTTGCATTTTTAAATATATACCCAGTTGCTTTAATTCTGTTTTTTCGTGTACTATTTCCTCGTTTTTTTTTTTTTTTTGTTTTTTTTTTGACACGGAGTCTTTCTCTGTTGCCCAAGCTGGAGTGCAGTCGCGTGATCTCTACTCACTGCAATTTCCACCCCCCACGTTCAAGCAATTCTCCCACCTCAGCCTCCCGAGTAGCTGGGATTACAGATGCATGCCACCATGCCAGGCTAATTTTTGTATATTTAGTAGATAGTGGGTTTCACCATGTTAGACCAGGCTGGTCTCGAACTCCTGACCTCAGGTGATCCACCTGCCTCGGCCTCCCAAAGTGCTGGGATTACAGGAGTGAACCATGGCGCCTCGCTATCTCCTTCATTCTTTATTTTACTTGTTTTCTCTCTCTCTCTCTCACTGTTTCTCTCCTTCTCACATTCACTTTGCAGTTGTCAAATAGCCCAGGTGATGTTACAGATTGACTCCTTATAAAAGGAGGCATTACACATTACACATGCATCTTAGTGGCCTTAAAAAAGTGTTTGGTTTATTTGTATGGACTATTCACCTTTAAAATATTTCAATATTCATTAAAATAGCTTCCAACCAATATTATTAGACTTATGTTTCTAGCTTTCGTTTTTGTATTGATATCTGCCTTCATTGCTGTTTGTTTAGGAAGTATATTCTGTGTCACGTTATTTCCGTGAAAATTGTTTGAATTTGTGGTATGGTCTAGAAAATGTTAATTTTTGTAAGTATTCTGTATGAACAATAAAATAACATGAATTATAATATTCATGTTCCTTATATAATATTTGCCCTTTTTAAAATCCACTAGCTTCTTTTAAAACTTACTCTTTTAATTTTTTCTTTTATCTATTATTGAAAGATGTGTGTTTGAAATGTCTATAATATTTGGGGGCTTATCCATTTCTACTTTCTGATATTTTTGCTTTATATAATTTGACTCTCTCTCTAAATATGTGTGTGTCTCTGTGTGTGAGAGAGTGTGTGGTTTGTGTGTATATATATATGTATGTATCAGGCTAATGCACATTTAAGTCATCACATCTTAATAACTTAAAACTTTTATCACACTGGTTAGACTAACTTATTTTAATAAATATTTCTAACTTACATTCTGTTTTGTCTACATAACAACTTTTTAAAAAATTATATTCATGTAGTATGTTTGTATGTATATCATATATACACAGTATCTGTATTGTTCAAACTTCAAAGTTCCTGTAAATTTATATATTAGTTGCCTCTCTTGTAACTATGATAGAGACAGATGTTTTAAATTTTGCCAATCTTTGTATTTTAACAAAAACATTGTCTACTTAGGTTTAAGTTAATCTTTGATCATTTATACTTAATTTTGTATTATTAATTTGTTGTGTGTGTATATATATATATATATATATATATATATATATATATATACTGTCTCATTTTCTCCTATCAGTTTCTGTCTTCTTGTTTTAAAATTATGACTTTTATTTTTATTGTTTTCATAGATACAACAGAGAAATGCATAATGTCCAGTCAATTTATTAAAGTTCCAAAGTCGGTCGCGCGCAGTGGCTCACACCTGTAATCTCAACACTTCAGGAGGCCGAGGCGTGTGGATCACGAGGTCAGGAGTTGGAGACTAGCCTGACCAACATGGTGAAACCCCGTCTATACTAAAAATACAAAAATTAGCCAGGCATGGTGGCACTTGGCTGTAATCCCCGCTACTCAGGAGGCTGAGGCAGGAGAATTGCTTGAACCTGGGAGGCAGAGGTTGCAGTGAGCCGAGATGGCGCCACCACACTCCAGCCTGGGAGAAAGAGTGAGTGAGACTCCTTCTCAAAAAAAAAAAAAAAAAAGTTGCAAAGTCATACCTTTCTGCTCTTGTCAGACAATTAAGGGGTCTTTGAATACTTCAGCCCTAATAATTTGCTTCCTAACATACATATTGCAGTGCTTATCTAATTTTAAATATCTTTTTGTTTCAACACCTAATTTTTTATTTAGATCTATCTGTATGTTTACAATATATTTTTCTCTGTGTTCATTCTTTGATTTCAGAACTTCAATCTTTCTGAAGCATGTTTTCAGAGTTTCTTTTTAGTTTCTTTAGTGGAATTCTGCTGGTGGTGTTTTGTTTTTTGTCTCTAAATATGTTATTTAGCCATAGGTTGATGAATATTTTTCTTGGTTGAGAATTTCAGAATGGCATTATTATTCTTAACAAATAATATTGTTTATTTTACCTTTCATGCTTTCAGATTTCAATATGATTAAAGGTAATTTGATTTTTCTAGTGCTAATTGAAATATTTTTCCCTTCCTGATTGTTTACTATTTCTCTAGGAGATATGTAGAGGTAGGTTTATCTCCATTGTAGCTTGCTTAGCATGCATAGAATTTTTGAATATGCGGATTAGTGTCTTACAAGAGTCTAGAGAACTTTCAGCCAAAATACCATCACATATTGTCCCTTCCCAGTTCCCTTCTTCTAAGAGAACCCTCACTAAACACATGCTACACTTTCTCACTGTATCTTCCATGTCTCTTCATGATTCTGTCCACATTGTGCATTTTTTAAAATTTTCTGTAATGCATTCTGAAATATTTATGAACTCTCACCATGGCCATGTCTAATCTGATGAGTTCATTTTTGAGTTTTTAATTTAAAATACTATATACAAACTACTTTTCAAATTTGCTACATCAATTTTTTAGTCTCCTAAAAATATATTCATTTTTTTTAAAATTTTTTGAAATTAAATGAGCTTTATAATCTAACAGTGATATTTCTACTAATGAACCTTTGTGGATCGGTTTGTACTCTTTTTCTGCTTTCCTTTCAAATGGTAGAATATCATTTCCTTGCATACTTAGATGCCTTTGAATGACAAAGATTTATTTTTCTCTGAAAATTATTATTGTGCACTTTTGCATATTAGTAAGAAGAAAATTTGCCAAAGAGAATTTGAATTTGTTGTGAGTCTTCTAAAGGCACCACCATTCTGGGACCACATTATATTAATTCTTGGCCTAAAGGTGTTTGGACATATGTTTGGACTGCACATTTAAACGATTTTTAAATTAATTGCTGTAAATCATTAATGATTGAGTTTCTTTAAATCCGTCCAATCTCAAGTCATTTTTATTTGCCATTTCCAGGGAATGTGAAATGGGACTAATTTACCTCTGATTCTACTTTATACTGAGGATATAAATTTTGGTCCTAGCTTTAGGGAAGATCTCCTGTGTGATGCCCTATCTTGGGAAAAACTATGTATTTCTTTACTGTCCTATGTGATGTATGACAGTAGGAATCTGCACTCATTCATTTTGCTACATGTCTGTAGGGCAAAATCAGTTTCAGTGTTTAGGTGTATTTTGTCTGCTCCCTGCATTCCCATGGTTTTGACCTTATATTTTACTTTTTTTGTGAACATACCAGTGCTTCAAATTTTTTTGCAGTAATATTTTCAACTATATTATGAGAAAGAGAAAAATTTTGATAAAACACAAATTTCATGTTTTCCTTCTCTAATTGGCTTTTACTTAAAAATACAGGTAAAATTTATTTGTGCTTTTTTGCTATTTCTGTTTTGCTATTCTCTGTTTGTCTATGTCTTCTCCACATAGACACAATTAGGGAATTTTGTACACTCTTGTGCCAACTGCTTTGATAGTAACAAAATGTATTTCTCGAACTCCTAGGTATAAAACTCAAGTATCCACAATTTAAATTCTTTTTTGCTCACTTCTGTTACATTTCCAGTCTCAATAGAAATCGATGCCAATCCAGAAATACAAGCATTATTCTAATACTTCTCACACATTACTGATATAGATTAAATTTTCTAGATCTCCTTAAATACTATCATTTTTCACTACTTGTATCTTAACTGTTAAGTTCAACATTTTCTATATTAATATGTTGTGAAAATGTCCTTACTTTCTTATTTTTCCCAGGTTCAATATTTTACAGTCTCTACCTCACCCTGTGAAGCATAAACATTGTACATGCTGTACAAATAATACATCGTTCATGTACTTAGAGATTGCACGATTTTTATTTGGTTGACAATAGCTAATGTTTTCTTCTTCATTTTCTATTTCCTGATTTTTCTTTATTTAGTATATACTACATTATCATAAAAATAAGAACGTTTTACAAACTAAAGCAAAAGCAACCCTAGGAATAAAATGCACAAATAAAATATATAAACATACATTTAGATGTACCACGTACCCTTGTAATTTATTTAGACAATTAATTCTAGTACAATTTTAATTAGTCTGTGTATTATCTGTCATCGTCTTAGTATTTTTTATATAACAAATTTTGTAAATCAAAAAGTCTCAATGTTGTTATAAACTATCTTGGCAGAGGTTGATCTCCAAGGAATAATTTCTCTCCCAAATTATGCCAATCAGAATTTCACTCTACCATAATTCTTTTAATCAGTTTCAGAGGAATAATAAATTTCAAAATTGTTCAAGGTACTTCTTTTAGTTCAAGTACCTTTTGACAGGTGTAAAACTGTAGACAGACTGATACAAACATATTCTAATTGACTCAAAATTATATGGGACCTATTTTAAAATCTAGATTTTAAAATGTCGTGTCAACATACACATGGTTTCCTTGTGAAATAATTGCTTTTTATTCTCTGGATAGAATAATTTAATCTTTAAACATTCAATTCTCTGTTAGAAACAAAATATTACATAAGGATATGCTTATAAAAATAATTCCCAACTAGCTTTTCAGTTCAGAAATATATGTGAAAAAATCATCAATCATCTAATGGATTTCAAGGAGAAATGGGTTAGTAATTTATTCCATATGTCTCAATTTTTCCTAGACTCAAGGCTTCCTTTAAAATAATTGTAGGCGTTTAAGAAACCATGTAAACTAAAAAGAAGAAATTGTGACACTGCCGCTTAGGTTTTTTAAATCTTTGGACATGATTCAATATATTTTTTAAATTGTATCTTAATTAGACATTGTGAGTTCACCATCTTCCTGTCAGTATTGCATCCAAGCTGATTATCATAGATTAGAAGTTCAACTATCAACTGTGTTCTGAGAGTCTAAAAAAATAAATGAACGTATTTGGGTATTCTTAAAGCAGGAGTGAGGACACAGTGAAAGTGAGACAAGGAAAAGAGAACAAAATAAAACAGGAAAGAGAGACAAGCCAATACCACACGTGTTAAGAGGTAAGTTCCTGTGTTAGATATCTGGGCTTAATTTTATGGGAAGCTATGTGGAGCATGCCTCAGAATTACATCACTGAATCCAGGGAGATTCTTCCTAGTTACCCTCAGCTTTTCTTCCCACTTCATGCCCAGTCACAAGCTCCCGTGCTGCTAGAGAAAGTCCTCAGCTAGAAACAGGTGCAAATTCTGGAGATGAGACCTTGTAGAGTGTTAAGAATGGTTTTCTTCCCAGCAGCTACAGGTAAGGAATAGGGGCTGGGCTATTAATACATCTGCTACAAACCAATGAAGCCCGTATGCTCCTTTTGGTGATCGAGAATGTATTTAAAAATATTAGATGATCAAGAAGGGCTGCAGAAAGGAGGAAACAGAAACAAACAGCACACCCCTTGGTTTATTTTTATTCATTTCATCAGTTTCAAGGAAAATATGTTGGGAGTTCCTGGCATAGACAATGTCACAAAGACATGTTTTCAATAGTAGTGCTATCCCTAGGGCAGAGAAGACCCAGAGAAAGCCCAAGTGGCTGATGGAACAAAGTCAGACACCGTGCCACCTGTCCACACTCCTTGGCTCTGCCATCATGCTGAAGATCGCTTTAAAGGACTGGCTTCCCTCCCCCCAAAATTAAAAGAGCACAGACTGAGAAACTGAATGTAAGAGACAGCAGTGGATTATGCTGTTCTCAGGGGTCACCTCAGGTTTGGAAGCATTCTTTCAAATTAACCCATCTCAGGCCATCTGCAGAGAAGAAAGGTGGTACCTAACTTTTTTTCTTGTCAGCAATTGATAGGGGTGTTTTATTGACCAAATATGTTCCCACAACCTGGTTTTTTGTGACTAACTAAATATAGTAGATTTTTAAATTTTATCAAAATCTATAGACAATTTTTGATTAAAATAGACTCCATATCTATGTCCTGCTTTTCTTCTTATTATTAATTACATTGCTGTATCAAAGAACAAGACTTCAGAATCAAGAATATCTTGTCTCTTCGCATTGAATTTATATACAAGGTGCTCTTTCTTTAATGCTGTCTCAAAGGACATATTTTTACTCATTAAAAAGGAAGATCGGAATCTAGTTGTATGCACTGCTCCAACATATTAATAATTAAAATTAGGAGGTAAATGTGGTCAAAGCCATAGAAAGACTGAGATGTCATTTATATTGATTACTCTATAGCACTCTACAAACAGAAATTGTTAAATAATAGTTTATATAAATATTTTGTAGCATTTCAAATATTTGAGTGCTTGAAGTTTCTCCTCTTATATAGTTCAGATTATCAATTTGAAGACTTACTCCGCTAGTTAATATGTTTTTAGTCTCGTTTGAGTATTACATAAAAGCAATTTTCAGTTAAATGTGTTCCGCTTACATAAAACATTACAAATTATTGAGGATTTAATTACTTATTCATGTTCCTGTAATGTCTTTAGAAGATTTTCTTCTTATTACCTATCAATATATGTATGCTTTTTCAAAGAAAAATCAAACATATATATCATTGAAATTGAAACTTTTTAAAAGTACTTATTAATTCTATTGAAAAACCACATCCATAGGAACAATTACAATATAATATTGTGAACATGTAAACATATACCCTGTCTATTTTATGTATAATCATATATGATTAAAAATATAGTTAAGAATTTTTAAACCTAGTATTATCAAGTAAAAATTAGTTAACTTCTGATGATTGTTAATTAAGATAAAATTATTTTGATTTGGGTGATTTTAAATAAAGAAAAAAATTACATGACAAAAATTCTTTATAAAATGTTTATGATTTTTACATTGGTTTTATCACTTTATTCCACTATTTTATTTTAAGATGACCAGCCTTGTTTAAAACACTGTATTCATCTTAATTAAATTAAATTCCATTTGTAAAAAAATTAACAAATGATTTGCTGTATTGTACAGTGCGGTTATAAACTGAGTCAGCGTCTCAAGATTTGATCCCCTTTATCATCATCTGTGGCCCTATTTGTTTGATAAATGTATTGTCTTTTTCCATGCCTGTCACATCTCTATTGCTCTTTCATTTTTCTCTTTGTCCCTTATAGGGAGCATTGCCTATCTCTAGATTAAGCAAAAGTTGCATCTTAAAAAAGCACAATAACCTGCTCAATCTTTCTCACACAGAGAAATGTTTGTTAAGTAATTAAAGTGTAGATGATGATACAAAGAGCTTGATTAAATTAGATGCCAAAGTACCCTTGTGATTCAGAATATGAATGGTATTTAATTTCTTTGAAATCATTAATTGCTGAGTGACATTAATTAATGCCAATATTCCAGAAGTTGTTCTAGTTAGTGAAATGTATGCAACATGCAAAAGATTCAGAACTCTGAAGGGCAACATTATTCTATAATTAAGAATTAAGAATTAATTCACATTAATTATTGGGGAGAAATAATTATTAAGAATTAATGATTGAGAAAATGTTTTTATTTTTTATTTAGAAAATTATTTTGTACATGAGCATTACCGCAAGTTTTGCAAGAAATATAAATTTAAAGAAACAATTATGTGCACAAGGTGAATTTAATAACATCTTGATATTTTCCACGATTACAGTTTTATTTGGTAAATCTATAAAAGCACATCTTCTAAAGATAATAAATGAATCTTGGAAATCTTGTAGGTAAAGGTAAATATTAGGATGCATCCAATTACATTTACACACACAGTTACATTTACACACACATACATGCATACAGACTGATACACGTGTGTATATATATATATATATGAATTTACTAATTGATTTTAACTAATATTTATAAGAGCCAGTTGGATTGATATATATTGTTGAACCTGAAAAATATTTATTATATACATGTTTAAAATACACACAGAAATAAATAGTAATTGCACCAGGCATTTGAAACTGTACTAAAATATAAGCTGTGAACATTTTGTGATCATTACAAATTCTTACACTGAATAAATATTTTTATTTTTACAATATTAATATGTTTGATATCTGTGTACATTTTTTACGATGTGTTATTTTATTTTTGTCATAGAGTCTTGTCATGCATAATAACATTTCAGTCAAAGATGGATTACAAATACAAAAGTGGTCCATGAGATTATAATACATATTTTTACATACTTTTCTACGTTTAAGTATGTTTAGATACATAACCTCTTACCACTGTGTTCTTATTGCCTGCAGTATTCAGTACAGTAAGGTAGTACACAGGTTTGTAGCCTGGGAGAGAGAGGCTATACCATATAACCTAGACATGGTAGGCTGTACAATCTAGGTGTTTGTAATATTCCCTGTGATGTTTGCAAAATGATGAAATTGCCTATGGATGCATCTGTTAGAACGTATCCCTATCATTCAGTGATGTGTGGCTGTACTAAAATGCTCAATGTAAGTTTCAATGCCCTCCATAAAACTGTTGTACTGTGAAATACAAATCTCTCACCCATGGCCTGAATATGTTTGCAAACTAAGCAGATCATGGGAAGGAGAATGTGCTGGCATCGCTGGGATGATTTTCTCACACTACATGAATAATATCTACAGACTTAGTGCATATGAGCCACTTGCATAGAGTTAAAGTAGGCATCTCTTTGCTGGGAAATTTATCAAATGGGAGTATGAAGTGTTTTTAAAAGATACTTGTTTGTTTGTAGCTGGTAGGCATACAGTGGCTCATGGCAGTGGTTAAGGTTGCTAAGATTTGGTGGAAGAAGGCAAAATGAAATGGCCACTTATATGGTATATGGTATATGGATCACTTGTTTCTGTTGAGTTACAGACTCAGCTGGCTATTTCTCCCAATGTTAGTTATTTGGAGAAAAAAAACGTGATGGTAATTTTGGAGTAACAAATACAATATTTGATGAAAGCAAATTTATTGAGGGTTAGACAAACTACAAGATACTTTAAGCTGCAAAGTCAACACGAGACTTCTGGCCCAAATTGTGCAGAGTTTGCGTCCAGCTGCAAAGTTCAAAGGAAGAGGCCATATAAGACGATTCTCACTTCTGACACCAACTGCCAGTTCAGGGGTTTCCCCTGAACACCCTCAGTTTCAAGAATTTACTAGAAAGACTCACAGAACTCATTGAATGCCATTGTACTTACGGTTTATAATAGAGAAAGGGTAGAAATTAGGACCAATTGGAGAGACATATAAGGTGGAATCTAGGAGATTTTGAATGTTAAGTTTCCATTGTCTTCAGGACATACTATCTGTCATTGTTGTACAGCAATAAACATGGAGTACTACCAACCTGGGGAGCTCACCTGATGCTAAAAAGACACTATTTAGAGAATGAAAAGACAAATGAAAGGATGGGATAAGATGACCTTCCACATTAAAGCACTGGAAAGAATAAAAAACTAAACCTAAAGCAAGCAGAAGGAAGAAAATAAAAATTAGAGAAATTAATAATTTATAATATTTGTTAGTGTTGAATAATTGATATCCTTGACTAGCTTTTTTAAAAAGAAATATTCACTTCCCAATTTACTCTTTGGGGCCAGTGTTACCTTGATACAAAAATTAGTCCAAATAGCATAGAAAAATAAAACTACTATAAGTATAAATGCAAAATTCCTTAAAAAATACTAACAAATCAGAACTAGCAACATATAAAAGAATTATACACTATGACAAAGTGAAATTTATACAAGTATTCCCAGGTTGGTTTAACAGCCCAAAATCCATTAAGGTAATACATCTTATCCATAGAATAAGAAACGAGAATTGCATGATCATCTCGATAGATTCGGAAAAGACATTTAACAAAATCCAAATGCTTTAATGATTAAAAATAAAAATAAAAACTCAATGAACCAGGAATAGAGAACTTTCTACACCAGATACATGGCACCTGTGAAAAGCCAACAGCAAGCATGAAACTTAATGGTAAAGGATGCTTTCCCGCTATGGTCAGAGATAAGAATAGGATATATAATTTGACCTCTTCTAGTCAATACTGTACTAAAGATTTTATGCAGGGCAAATCGGCAACTAAAAAAATAAGAGTCACCCATATTGAACAGGAAGAAATAAAACTTTATTTGAAAATAACATTCTTGTGTATAGAAAATGTTAAGGAATCCACTGAACGACAGAACTTGTAAATTATTTCAGCAATATTACAGCATACAAGATAAATGTACAAAAATCAATTGCACACATCTACAATGAAAACCCCAAAATGAAATTAAGAAAACACTTCAATTTAAAATAGCATCATAAAAAGAAATAATAATTAATTTGGAAAATGTGATACAAGATTTTACTCTGAAAATTAAAAATTATTGTTTAAAGAATATCTAAGTAATTAGCAAACATCTTACAGCCATGAATTGGAAGATTTAATACTGTAGTACTTTACAATTTGAACTACAGATTTGATGAAATCCCTGCAAGTATTCCAACAGACTTCTGTCTAGAAACTGACAAGCTGATTCTAAAATACACATGGAATTGTAAGGGACTCAAAATAGCCAAAATAATCTTGAAAAAAGAAAACATATTAGGATAATTCACACCCCCATGCTCCAAACCTTACTGCAAAGTATCAGTAATCAAGACAACAAAATACTGATGAAGGAAAAATATATAGATTGATGGAAGAGAATTGAGAGTCCATATATAAAACTATGTGTCTATGGTCAATGGATTCTTACAGTGGTGCCATGTGCAATTCAATGAAGAAGAGACAGCCTTTGAACAAACTGGTTCAACAACGTACACGTGGATCACCACTTGCAAAATAATAAATTGGAACCCTTACCCCAAAGCATACAAAAATATTAACTCAAATGAATTAAAGACACACATGCCAGAGCTAGAATAAAACATATGGGAAAATCTTCAGCATTTTGGATCTAGCAAAGAAATAGCTGTAACATCAAAAACATGAGCAACAAAATAAAAATTAGATATTTAAAATTTCTTAAAAATTAAAGACATTGGTGTTTCAAAGGACAACCAAGCAAGTCAAAAGGCAGCTCAAAAATTGTGAGAAGATATTTGAAAAACACGTATCTATATGTCTGTATATATATGTATCTTGAATATAGAAAAATTGTTTTAACTCAGTAACAAATATCCCAACTCAAAACTGATAAATGATAGGAATAGATGTGTTTCCCAAGAAGATACATGAACGGCCAATAATCCCATAAAAAGATACTCAATAGCATCACTCATCAGGCAACTACAAATCAAAACCACAGTTAGATACTCTATGGCTAGAACTGGCCACTTTGTAAAATAATTTGATGGCTTCTAAATATATTAAACATAGAATTGTCATATGACCCAGAAATTTATTCCTAGGTATACACCCAGATTATTGGAAAGAGGTGTTCAAACACAAATTGTACACAATTATTTTTAGCAGCAGTATTTAAAATAGCCAAAGGCTGAACACAACTCAAATGTCAATAAAAATATTATTGGATAAACAAAATGTTATATCCATGAAATTGAATGTTATACGGTTATAAAAAGAAATAAAGTACCAATACGTACATGAACCTTGATAGCATTATGCCAACTGAAAGAAGCCAGGCACAAAAGGCCACCTATTGTATGATTCTATTTAGATGAAAACAGAATAGGAAAGTTTATAGAGACAGAAAACAGATTTGTGGTTGCTTAGGATTGAGTAGGGGATGAGTCTATAGGATGTTAACAGCTAGAGAAGGTGGGGTTTCTTTTTGAAGTGATGAAAATGCTCTAAAATTCATTGTGATGATGGCTCCACTTATCTGTGCATATACTAAAAGCCACTGACTTGTAGACATTAATGTGTGCACTCTACACTATGTAAATTTTATCTCAATAAATCCTTTCAAAAATACACAGAAGAGTAAGGGGTTTTGGAAAGTTGCAACTGGGAGGCAGTTTGAAATACTGAATAGGCCTCATCGAGAATGTGAAGTTTCAGTAAAGACTTGAGGAAGTTGAATGAGCTGATCAATGGATATATGGAGGGCTATCTTTCCAAGCCAAGAAATTAACTAGAGTCTTGGTCATAAGGCAGCAGCGTGTTGGCATGTCCAGAGGACAGTGAGGTGGCCAGGACCACTGGTAAGATCAAGGGTGAAGATATAAAAGAATTTTGGCGGTTAACATGCGGCAGATCATGATGGGGTTGCAGACCATTGTAAGAATTGTTGTTTTTAGTGTACATGAAATGGGGAGACAAATCATTATCCCATTATCAATATTTTAATAAATTGGATCCATGAACCAAATGCAATGAGATTAAATCAATTAATAATAATATGCAAATTTGTATTAAAATTACAAGAATTATTTGCACATTTGAGAACAGGAGAGTCATGATTGTTTATCAGCAATAATAAACATTAATTTTAATTGTGATCAGCTAATTGAGATTAATTGCAATACATCATGCTTTATAATGTGACTGTCAAAAGGAAAGTATGATTGTAATCTTATACTACATCTATCAATGCCTTTGATTCATAAGACTATAGAGTAAGCCCCTAGTTTTCAAAGCCAACTTATGAGGCAGTGACATCTTATGCAAATTTGCTGCTTTCTGCCACAGTGATCCTTGGTCAGCTGGCACAAATTGTTTTACAAACGCCCCTAGGTCTAAAAATAGTTTGGATCACAATGAACACAGAAACACCTTCATCCCTTCAGAAATACCTATCAATTACTTCCAATACAGAATGAAAAATTGACAAAGGAAATATGTGGATTGTAAAAATGCCAGTTAGCTTGCATCTAGATCAAAGAAAAATGCCATTTTTATTACATTAGATCATTGTTTTGCATGAGTTTTGGTATAGCACAATGTTGAACCAAGGGCAAAGAGAGATGAATTAATGATATCTTGATTAAGATATCAAGAATTTGAAAGAAAAGGCAGGTCATCTTTGAAGGTTAGTGACATAGCATTCATCTTCTGTTGTCACCTTTTCCATCATGCCCTGTATGCCTGATGGACAGGTTTCACTCAAGTTCAGAGAACAGCATGCAACATTAGCTACCAATTAATCTTTATGAAGTGAGCTGCATTTCCTGCCAGACTGAGCTTATGTTTTAGCAGGAAGCATTTTTGGGAAATGTTTATGTTAGAGTTTGCCCTTCTTGACAAGGTGAGACATAAATGTCTACTTTATACACATGAATTAAGATGGGAAGATATTTGGGGGAATCATTTACTCAAACGCTAAATAATAAAGGTACACAAAGGGCAAATTATACTAGATTTCTTTCCCACTTGTTTTGTATGTCTCATGCAATTCACCTTGATTCCCTTCAGTTTCTGTTTAATGTAGAAAGTGGCATTTTCCTTATTTTAAGCTTCTAGCACAATGAAAGAATTTCTCTTTTTCATGAACAGGATCATAAATGAAAGGGAGGAAGAGTGTCCTATATCATATTTATTGTTCAACAAAACACTGCTCCATGGCTTAAATTCAGTTTAAAAAAGAGAATTTATTGGACATCTAACACATACATAAAAGATAGTAAAGACAAATGAGAAGAGCGCAGGATATTGAAGTATACAGATTTCAATGCTGAGTTTTATATCTTAGGAAGTTACTCCACCTTACAGAGGCTCAATTTCCCCTGATTTAGGAAGGCGATGCTAATGGGTATTGCATAGGTGTAAGTATAAAAATGTTGTATTTAAGAGAATCCCACAAGCTTGGTATAAGGCAGAAAATAAATAGATGTGACATGAATAAGTAGTTTATTACATTTGTATTCTACCTGCGGACTAGAGGAAGCAAGAAACACAGCCACTATGCTTGATTAGCATTACAGAGATGGTACAATGATGGTTGCCAGAAGCTGGGGGGAGGAAGAAATGGGGAAGTATTTTTTAATGGGTATAGAGTTTCAGTTTTACAAGATGAAACGAATTATGGAGATGGATGGTAGGGACGGCTGCACAATGTTATGACTCTATTTAGTACCACTGAACTGTACACTTAAAATGGTTAACAGAGTACATTTTATGTTATGTGTATTTTACCACAGTAAAAAAATAAAATACCTTAGGAACATTTTCATGGAAAAGCCCACATAAAATTCATTTTAATGCACGTGTTTATGCATAGCTTTGTATTTTTCTCTTTTCTCTTTATCTTCCAAATTCTAATCAGAGAAGGGAATCACCTCTGTACCTCCAGGATATTCAGTAAAGACCACTGGAGTTTCATGCCCTAGTGACAGTGCTCATATAGCTCCAAATTACAGATGGCTCTAGACTAACTCCACAAAGTTTAAAGAGAAGATTTAAAACAACAACAGACAAATACTCATCCTGAAGTTACTGAACTGCCTGCCACAACATTGTTCAAAGGTAGCCAATAAAATCTAGATAGTCAATAGCATAACCTCAAAAAACTCCCCCCAAAAAAAACTCTGACATGCAAAGAAGCCGTAAGATATATATACTTAAGACATATATTAACAAGATAAAAATAAGTCATTTATAAATGACAGAAAAGAAGGAAATTTCAAGGTCCTTAAAGTAAACATATTTTATAAATACATATAGGTAAATACATATATATGTCAAGGCACTTAAATGAAAATTGAATATAGAAAAATAGAAGTTATAAAATGAAAAATGTGACATGTATAGATGAAAAATAAATATTAGAAATAAAAATTCCATGAGATAGAATAAGTAATGGATTTTACCCAAACATCAGAAAATTTATAGAAAAAAATAGAAGCTTTACAAACTAAAGGACAAAGGGTAAACCAAAATAAGAAAGCCAGAAACTCACTGATAAGTCAGACAATATGCAGCAGTGTAACATACATGTAATTAATATCTCAAAAAGGATGGGTGGGGGAATTATAGGTGAATAAAGAATGGTACACTCATTCCTGAGGGCACCGAGGAGGGAAGATAGCTTTAGATTTCTAAGGGAGGGTATTATCCATTCATGAAGGTCCAACCCCATGACCAAACACCTTCCAGTAAGCCCCACCTGCAACATTGGGGATCAAATTTTAACATGAGATTGGAAGGGGCAAGCATTCAAACCATAGCAAGAGTTAAATTTCCTTTTTAAAAAAATCACTGATATGATTCCATTTCGCCATAGATAAAAGCTAGTATTTCAGCCTACCATTGAGTGTGCTTATAGCTCACCAAAAGGGCACTCTGTCTCGGGAATACAGATTTGCCTAGAGGTATCCTATTGCAGTCAAAGAAAGAGCAATGAGGGATAGAAAAGGTTAGTGATGGAGACACCAGCGCTGCATTTTGCAACAAACAATGTAAAAATTTTACTGATTGGCTCTGCTAACTTACTACAGTTTGCATTCCTCTCAGGTGGGAGAATTGTTGCGTTTTTTCTTAAGATAGAAAAGCAATTCAGATAATCTGAAATCTCCACAAGAAGGATAAGAAGCACAGCAGAAACTATTCTAGGCAGGAAGTCAATCCTTTCAACTGTCTGTGCTCCATAGAAACAATTGTCTGTACTGGAAGTCATATGAGATACAGACAACAGCCAGAACTCTGATCCTCTCATTAGTGATTTCAGAAGAAATTACCAGTCAACTGAGTAATTCACTGAGTAAACATTTGGCACTGAAAGAGGTTAGACGGATAACCATTTGTATCACCATATTCATGAAGCTGGAATATTTTCCATTACTGGTATCACATCCGAATGGAAGATGTTAAAAAGTCTCTCATCTTGTAAGATGGATATGAAAGAACATTTTCTGGGAAATGAAATTATTAACACACCTGCGAGGTGGATGGAAGAGAAAAAAAAGAATAATCAGCTGGAGTTCTTCTCCTTGATAAGACAACTCACTAAAAACATAAAGAGAAAAATACAAGTTTAAAATAATTAACCAGAAGAAGACGACTCAAGAGTTTTTAAATTGCTGATAAGATTTTAATTTGCTCCAAGTTGAAAATAATTATATTGCTTGTGTTTTAAGGCCCATAATGAGCAATTATATCACACATGATAGTTTCAGCAGTAAAATATTATCCATTAACTGCTGGAAATCATAAAAGCATAGCACAATGTGAAGATGGAATTTGCTAAAATAAACCATCTGCTGAAAACTACTATTCTGCAAATTTAAAAATAAAGTTTAAATGTTATTGGTCTTATTTAATAGGTCTGTAAAAAAATGCGCTATTTGAAAAGTAGCTGCTACCTTAATTAATTCTTCATATTAGACGGCTGGTTACAGTAATGCACAGTAAGGTGCTACATAGATATATTGCTAAATTTTCTGCACATACTATGTATTTGGCTTAAACTATTTGAAATTTTATAGTTAAAATAACAAATGTATATTTCAATGTTTTGACACAATTTGCAAATATACCTTTAAAGAGCGTCTTACACTCTAAATATTATTTGTCACCTACATATTTGTCTTTTCTCTATAGGAAAGTTTAAATTTTTCCCTTGAAGCTTTAATTATTTCAGTCTATAAAACAAACTGATAATGTACAAATTAACAGAAAAAAGGTTTACAGATATGTGCACAAGTATGCACTTGCAGTTTACATAATATATAAAAATATAACTATACAAATATTTGTATATTATAAATAGATATACAAATATATGCTATATATATAAAAACTCCAGGAAAGGCAAGGTAGTCAACACGCCTATGCTGTCTTGAGGTTACAGAAAACACAGAGCTGTAGGTTGGTAAATCAGGCTTTGCGGAAGACAGGTGATGACAAGGAAGAAAGAGGAGCCTGACAGCAGAGGTGGTCTTGTTACATGGATGAAACCTCACAGGGAGCAGCCCTCCTCTTGGGAAGTATAGATAGGAATTGGTTTTTAGAAATGTAAACGTGCCAGGCTCAGTTAATCTTTCCTAAACCCAGACAAGGGAGTATCTCAGGGAAAGCCTGTCTACATCAATGCAGATTTTCTCTACAAATGCAAATCTCCCCAACAAACACAGCTTTTCAGCTATTCTTGTAGAAGAAGCTATCTCCAGTCTTCCGAGTAGCCATCTTGAAATATGTCAAAAAGCTGCCCAGGTGCATGCCTGTAATCCCAGCACTCTGGGAGGCTGAAGTGGGTAGATCACCTGAAGTCAGGAGTTGGAGACCAGCCTGACCAACATGGTGAAACACCGTCTCTACTAAATACAAAAAATTAGCCGAGTGTGGTGGTGCATGCCTGTAATCTCAGCTGCTTGGGAGGCTGAGCTAGGAGAATTACTTGACCCTGGCAGGCTGAGGTTGCAGTGAGCCAAGATTGTGCCATTGCACTCTAGCCTGGGCAACAAAAGCAAAACTCCATCTCAAAAAAAATGTATTTTAGGGTAATATTTTGAGTATCTTTACCTCCATATGTACAATAAATATTATTGTGATTTTTAATCTTTTCTGTGGAGAAAACACAGGTGTGATTTCTAGTGTAGCTGAACATCGTTTATTTGACAATATTGCACTTGTGTGTGGGTGTGTGCGTGTGTAGCTACTCTTTAATTTTGTTCTGACATAATCATTAGATATTAACAATTAATTCAGTAAAATATATGTTTTTCAATATTTCTCCATGTTATTATGCTTTAAATTAGTTTAATCATGCCCTTATAATGTGTACATTTTAACCTTTGACTATAGGTCTCAATCTTACTTTGGTTCTTGTATTTGAATTTATGCTAATAAAGTCCTACAGCTAAAATAGATTATATAAACTTATCTACATTTTTACTAGTATTCTGGTGTCATTTTAAATTATGTAATGAAATCAAATTTTAATTTGGATTATTGTTATCTGAGTTAAGGATCTAAATTTTCAATTTCTTACAAATACTACATAATTATTTCTGAAACATATATTGACTAATCTCCCCTTTATATGATGTGCATTATAAGAGCTTGGGATTGTTTCATTTGCAAAGATGAGTGTTTGAGAAGTAGATATTTAATCATAACATTTCAAAATCTACTGGATAACCTAGAATTGAAAAATAGCCTATAGGTTGAAAAACTCCTGTAGTGAAGAAAGAAAATAACTAATATACAGTGACAATATAAATATTATAAGTATTTATTTTATTATCGCCCTGAAATTTGATAATACAAACATGTAATATCTACATATCATCCATATAGCAGGTCAGAAAAAATCAATACATTCTTCAAAAATTTAGCATAACAGAAAATGCACTCTCTCTCCTTGATGGAATTAAGTTACAAATAAAAGTAAAAATAAGTAGATAAGTAGATGGAAGTAGATGTTTAAAAACAAAGAAAAATATTTGTTTTGGATAACATAAAATCTCAATTGACAATTCCAATATTTCCAGAACTTTGGCTGTCAACTGGTGGAGAGTTTTCCCCAGGAGACATTTGTCAATGTCTAGAGTTATTGTGGGGATGTCAAGACTGGTGGAGGTGTGAAATTTAGAGGTCAAACGAAACACCTAGCATTGCTAGGGCAGCCTCCCACCACAAAGAATCCTCTGGTCCTAAAGGTAAATATTACCAAGGTTGAGAAACCATAGTATAGAAAGTAAACACTATGTAGCTATTCCAAGTGCTCAGGAAAACACATCAGTGCCCTCGAGAGGAAAAGTGTAAACATTTTAATTGCTGTACATGGTGACACAAATCCATGTTGTTAATCTAAGTGGAAGGGGCTGAAGCACAAAACGTAATTCAAAGAGTTTACTTGAGCCACAATGAGGACAGCTGCCTGGAAGAAACAGACCCAAGTATCCTTGGATATGAACTCCCTTTGGAGCTTTGCAACAAGCAGTTTCTTAAAGGCAAAAAAGGGTCCAGAAGTGGGATGATGCAAAGAGGTTTGTCACAAATTCTCATTGGCTTATGGAAATAACATTTATTAGTGATTGGCTATACACTGTTACACTATTATTGGGTGTGGATTATAGTGTCTGGTGTGGCTTTATTGGTTAATTTATAGCTACTGTGGTAACAGCGGCAGCCTAGATGAACACACATCTCAAAGAGGAGCAGGACAGAACTGCTGTCTCATTTGAATATCTCTCTGGGCCTGATTATTTCAAAGGACTTGCATTTCTCATATGAAAGTTATTTTCTTTTCTCAAGGTCCATAAATGAGAATAAATAGATGTAAAATAGATCTTTTTGAGGATGAAGTAAATGGAATGATAAACAAAACCCAAGCTGGCCAGAAATCATAGAGGGAAGAAAAGGTTATAAATATATGGATTTTTCAAAGTGATGTTAAGCTATTAGGAATCAGTTAAATGTTGGGGGATTTTGTCTGAGAATGGGCTAAAGGAGAATGTCCCTTTTGCCTTCTGAAGTTTCCCTGAAAATCACTAATAGGAGGCAGATAAATAGTAGAAAAGGCATACAGGTTTCTGCAATGTGTGTACACTGGAGCCCTTAGAATGAAGACCCAGACACACGATGCATGCAGAAGCTTATCTACCACATGAAGTTTACAGAAAGAATGGGGTCTTGGATCACAGGGAAAATATAAAAAGGTTATGTGAGAAAACGACCCTGGCTAGCAACAGTGGACTTATTACATAGGTGGAACCTCACTGGGAGCAGTCCTCAGAGAGAATAGACAGAAAATGTTTCTTTCAGACCTTTGGAGACCTCAGACTCTCAGTTAACCCTTCCTAGATCCAGACAAGGGGTTAGAACTCAGAGAAAGCCTGGCTGCATCAAGGCAGACTCTCTAACGGTGCAAATCTCCCCAAGACAGCTTTGCAGCTAAGTTTGCATTTCCAGCCCTTCTCAATAGTCATTTTGAAATATATCAAGGAAATATATTTAGGGGTAAAATATATTAGTTTCCTTCATACAGCTATAAAACATACAGCAATAATTTTTGTCAATGTCTACTACAAATCCAATATAGCAGTAAATATAAAACCCACCAGATATTGAAGAAAAAATATGTAGAGTACCTCAATTGCAAATGTTGATACTAAAATGCCAAATAAAATAAAAATAATTTCCAACAATATTTGAAACAGTAACACAAGAAATTGGCCAAAAAAAAAATAAAACAAATATCCACCTTGGGGATGAAAGTGTGTTTCCAAATTTGGTAATCCAATAATATTAATAATCATACTGATTAGCCCAAATTAAAAATAAATAGGGGATTCTCAGTACATGCTAAAATATATTTGTTAAAAGGCAATATTCATGTCTTTAAAGATTTTAAATGCTATAAAGAGTCTGATATTCTATAGGCAAACATGTGTATGTCCATTAGAAGAAGAGAGGTCTGATTTTCATATGTTACTACATAGAGATAGAGAAGTGGATAGATTAATTTGCATATGCATAGAGAAAGCATAAAATAGAAATTTACTATCATATTAAAGGAATTTTAATTCAACAATAAAATAATTCAAAGGTAAAATTTTAAATATTTTTAACAGGTACATTATTAATATTAGATAATATTTATAATTGTGAAAATATTCCATGCTAAAATAAGATGCAATGTCTAAACATCAGTATTAAAACTAGTATAAATATTTGCTTGTTTATACAAGGAAAATTCAAGCTCAACCTAAAATTATATAGGAAATAAAATAAAAATTTTAAGGGAGCTCTTTAATAACATAAACATATATATATACACACACACACACATATAACATGTATATATGTTATATGGGATAGATATAGATTTAACATGTTATATCTATATTTGTATCTATAACTACAGCTGTATGTATCTACATTTCTATATATTTACTCAGTGACATAAATATAGACTGGAATAAATATAAAGACACATATGATTCTTGGATAAAAAGGATTTAGTATCATAAAGACAAATTCTTTCCAAATTCACTTATGAATTCACAACAGTATACAGTTTCATTAGTATAATTTAAAATTTTTAAATAAATTCCAAGATTCATTTAAAGGAATATACATGTATACAAGCAGTCAAGAAAGAAGCAAGAGTGCACTAAACTAACTTGCTATTAAAATACATTTTTAAACTTAGTAACTGAAACTGAGCAGTACTGATTTCCAATACTGGAATTTAGGTATATGGGATCTCAAAAGCACAGAGCTCAAAGGAGACCCCTGTATGCACGAGAGCTTAGGATGTGCTTTAGAAGGCATTACCAAACCACGGGCAAAGTTACTTTAGTGTCTTAGTCTTACTAGGTTTGAAAAGCCAGAGAAAAGACTCAAGACCACCATATAAGAGCAAAACAAAAGGACAGGGAGAGAATGTGAAGATACTGAAACATTTTACGTAAAGTTGTATAAAACATCCTTTAAAGAAAATGTAAAGTTTAGGATATACAACAAAATCAGCAGAGCCACTAAATAAATAAATAGGCATTGTAAAACAGCAAGAGAAAATTTAAATGGATTTCTAAAAAATATTGACACCTATGATTTTTAAAATATGTTTAAGAAATCCCGTATTTCACAGGGCAGCCTTTCACAACACAGATATGTTAGGACATAAAGGTCCTTCTGTTTTTAATTTACTAGAGTTTATAGGGTTACAAATGTCTTCTACCCTTGTCTTTTGTCTGATGGTGCAAAAAATTTTCATAAGCATGTATTTCTGAATGCCTGATGGATTGACATATATAATATGCTGCTAGTATTAAAATATGTGTAGGAAAACACATCCAATCTTCTCACTGTTTACATAAATTCTAGGTTTCTCCTATTTACCTCAAGCACGTATGGAGCGAATTCTTACCTTTTAATATTGCCATGGCATTCACATTGAACATAAGTTGAACTCTCTCTTATGGTAGCTGGGTTCAGATTCTCTTGACAATTTCCAGTTCTAACCCTCACAGTTCCTCAGTGTGGCTGGCCCAGGTATTGACCCTACACAGTTGCCTCCTCCTGGTGACTACCAGCTATGGAACCGTTTGATACAACCTACCTGACTCACCCCACAGACCTCACAGCGCACATGGACAGTCTCCACATGCCAGAGTGACCTGCAGCGGGAGTCAAGAAATGTGCCTGCTGGCACTCACCCCACAGACTAGTGCCCCGTGGAAAACTTATTTGGGTAATGTTCTCGGCCCTATAAAGGCTGGAGTCCCACAGACCCCTTTTCTCTCTCCTGCTCCCCACTCATCTTCCCCATTTTGTTCAGCCGTATGAGGTGTGCTACTGTATTAGTCCATTTTCACACCACCGGTAAAGATATGCCCAAGACTGGGTAATTTCCATAAGAAAGAGGTTTAATAGACGCACAGTTCCACATGGCTGGGTAGGCCTCATATTCATGGTGCAAGGTGAAAGGCACGTCTCACATGACAGCAGACAAGAGAGCTTGTGCAGGGAAACTCCCCTTTAAAAAACCATCAGATCTTGTGAGACTTATTCACTATCAGAATAACAGCATGGGAAAGACCTGCCCCCATGATTCAATTACCTCCCACCTGTTCCCTCCCACAACATGTGGGAATTCAAAATGAGATTTGGCTGGGGACACAGCTAAACCCTCTTCTCAGCTACCCTTTTCTCTCTCGATCTGTGAGTAATAAACCTACTTCTGTGATTTCCCATGCTTTGTTCTGTGGCCTCCATGGGTCTGAGCTGACCTACACTGGAACCTCACTCTCCACCTGGCCAGGGTCTCTGAGAGTGGCTCTTGTCAGAAATACACAGGACACAGGTCAGGCAACAGTCACCAGGCATCTCCTAGTCTCAACAGATATTCTGTGAGAGGGAGGCCTGGTCGTGGTATGCACACCTGGCCACTGCTGGGGTAAGGAAGTGTCCTGTGAAAGGCACATGTTAAGCATCCACAATGCCCTGACCAGAACCCCAGAAAGGCAGGGCTCCAATTGACAGTCACTCTCCAGAGACAAACCTCGAGCCCTAACTGGAGGAAAAGAAAACAATGTAAAAAGTTGAATTTATCTTACTATTTCAATGATCCAGTAAAGACATTTTATGCCTGTACACCACATATTTTCTTCGATTGTGGATTTATTTTAGATAGAATTTTATGTCTGGCTTTCACTTTAGCCTGGTCCTTACCTCAAGCATAAGGTAAAGATTTTCCATGGGTTCTTTTCTGTTACTACTACCTGCCAGTGTGGGGTCATGTCCTAGTCTATCTTGAGGGAACCCCCCTATTCATTATTGTCAGAGTGAGACTGTTAAGTCTTGATTTCCCTGGACAACTTCACTGCATGACTTTTAATATGATTTTTTTTAATAGACCCTTTACTGGGCAATAAATTATATAGTTATCTGAGTAAGAGATATGGTCAGGAAGAGGCATTGCCTCATTCAGCTTTTCTCTTTGGTGAACTCGCATATGTTCTCCTCACCCGCCAGTCACCTCTAAACTGTATTGTTCCAAGACAACAAACAGAACTCGAATGTGTATCTTTCACCACTGGATTTGTGTTTGCTCCATAAAGCTTCATGCTTAATAGGGTTGCTGTTAGCATTTTCTCTATTTATTTTCCCATAAAATATCACAGGCCTTCTTCATATGGAATTATGGGTGATTTCCTTCAATCTGCATAATATCAAGTTGAGGTTCATGTTGATGAAAAGTAAAACATACGTTTAAAATATCAGTAGTGATGTTTTCCCCTCCTTTTTAGCACATGTGCTTGTGATACAAGCACATTTTAATACAATTGTAGTCTCATGCTTTGATCATTCCTAAGATGAAAATAACATTTTTAGATAAAATATCTGAGTCTTATGAGGCCTTTAGTATGTGATGTGATAGAACATCAGAAGACCATACTTTTTTCTAGTTTTCCGTGCAATTCTATCATTGTTTCATCTTTACTCCTACCAGAGTAATTTTCCAAAATAGGTATCTTGTCATTCTTCCTGTTGTTATCAGTAAATAAGTGAAATGAAAAGCTAGATTATATAATTTACCTAGAACAAGAAAGTAGAATTGAATCTACATTCATTAATGAGACTAACCAGTCAATTACACAGATAGGCATTTTACATTTTGAAGATCATATGGACCCATTGTCAGAAATATTATTATTTATGTCTATATGGACATCACCTGTGCATATTTACATAGAAATCAATGAGAGCTGATTTTTGTTTCTATGATATATATTTTTTGAGATAGGGTCTTGCTTTGGTGCCCAGGATGGAGTGCAGTGGTGCAATCACTGCTCATTGCAGCCTCAGCCTCCCAAGCTCAAGCAATCCTTCCACCTTGGCCTCACAAATAGCTAGGACAACAGGTGCACATCACCATGCCCACTTTTTTTTTTTAACTTTTGATAGAGACTGGGTCTTGCTATGTTGCCCAGGTTTCTTTTGAACTCCTGGGCTCAAAGAATCCTCTCATTTCAGCCTCTTCAACTGCTGGTATTATAAGCATGAATCACCATATGGGCTGGAAGCTGATTTTTAAAATACTGAGATCATATAGATGACAGCACCTGAAAAATAGACAACACCAAGCTTTATGTTAAAAAGTGTGAGGGTATCAATATTGTTGTGGCTATTGGGGAGGAAAACATTAGTAAAACCAGTAAGTTAAAGCTCTTGCTTTAAACTTTGGCTTTAATTTAGCAAATGTTCTATGGAGTGACAGTATGTATGTAACCATGCTATGCCCATTCACAGATGCAGTAGAGGGAAGAATTTCTCAAAGACAACTGTTCTAAGATTGAAATTAAATCGTACTGGGTTTGAAAAGAGAAAGTCCAGGAATTACCAAATATTTTAGATATCAGATAAAAGAGATTGTGAGGTATGCGATGATAATCAGCAATGGTTGTTCACACAATGCATCAAATCAGTATTTGAATTAGCTTTTGAATTCCAAGGACAAATGGATCAAGTCTAGACTCTTTAGTAGATAAATCTTATTAGGCTGAGATGTGTTTTCCCCTGTTTTTCCACAAGGAGATTACAAATTTGCAAACCTCAGCTGCTCTCATTTTATGCTTTCACCAAGTCAAAAGCTGAAGTTCATCAATCAGTGTATCTAAGTGTTCACTGGTTATATACCATTTTGTAGTTTCAGCTATCTTTCCAACTTCCTAAATCATCACCTTCATTTGATCTTGTTTTTTTCCACTATCACTTCTTTATTGACCATATAAAGAATATAAGTAAGTTATTATCTTGTTATTGTTCATTTTAGTCTAATTTCATCAAAATATCACAATCTGAATTTCATTTTAATTTCAAAGATTAAATGAAACCTACATCGAAATGAGTGTAAGATTTGCATTTGCATTATTTTGGCATCAATTTGCTATCCTCCCTCATGCACATAGAGATCATTTCCATGTACGTGATTTCAAACATCCAAATGCAGTATTAAAAGCAGTTGTAAATTATGGTTCTCATTTTCATGATACAATTACAATATAAACTTCCTCTTGCTGCTGTAACCAATTACTACAAACTTCATATCTTACAATAAAGTGACCGTTAATCCTACGGTTCTGTAGTTCAGAAGCCTTAAATGAAACTCACAGGGCTAACTAACATCAAGTTTTGGGCAGGGCTGCAGTCTTTCTGAGGGCTATGTGGCAGAATCTATGTACTTGATTTTTTTCAGCATCCAGAGGCCACCTTTATTCCTTGGAACATGACCTCATTCTTATATCCTATTTTTCTTTCTTTTTTTTTTTTTGAGATGGAGTCTCCTTCTGTCATCCAGGCTGGAGCGCAGTGGCACGATCTCAGCTCACTGCAACCTCTGCCTCCCGGGTTCAAGTGATTCTTCTGCCTCAGCTTCCTGAGTAGCTTGGACTACAGGCACTTGCCACCATTCCCAGTTATTTTGTTTTTGTATTTTTAGTAGGGTAGGGGTTTCACCATGTTAGCCAGAATGGTCTCCATCTCCTGACCTCGTGATCCACCCACCCCAGCCTCCCAAACTGTTGGGATTAGGCGTGAGCCACTGCGCTGGGTCCTCATTCTGGTATCATAAAAGTCAGTGATGTTGAGTAATTTCTCATGCCACCACCTCCAAGGTTGCCTTTCGTCTGCCTTCTTCTTTCACTTATAAGGAAGTTTGTGATTTCATTGATCCCACCCATTTAAGATAATCTATCATTTTTCCACAACCTTAATTTCACTTGAAATCTAATTTCACACTGCCGTGCAACCAAACATATTTGTATGTTAGACTCTGGGAATTAGGACATGAAAATTTTTGGGAGGCCATTCTTTTGCCTACAGCAGACATAATCTATTTACCTGCAGATTAAAGCGTTCTTTATTTTTCTGCCTCCCTCTCTTAATTTTTTTAGAATAATATGAATTGTAGTAAAGAGAAAGAAAGAAAAGAAAACAAAGAAAAAGAAGGAAGGAAATAAGGAAGGAAGGAAGGAAATAAAGACGAAAGAAAAGAAGGAGGAAATGAGAGAAGGAAGGAAAGGAGGGAGGGAGGGAGGAAGGGAGAAAGGCAGGAAGGGAGAAAAAAGAAAGCATGAACACAAGAAAGAAAGAAAGAAAGAGAAAGAAAGGGAAAGAGAAAGAAAGAAAGGAGGAAGGGAGGAAGGAAAGGAGGAAGAGAGAATCGTAAAAGGGAGGAAGGCAAAGAAACAAAGAAAATAAAGAGGGGAAGGAAGGAAAAAGAGGAAAGGAAGGAGGGAGGAAGGAAGAAAAGGAGGGCGGGAGGAAGGGAGAAAAAAGGAAAGAAAGCAAGAACGTGAGAAAGAAAGAAATAATACTAGAAAAGAAGGAAGAAAAGGGAGGGAGAAAGGAAGGGAGGGACGAGGGAAGGAAGAATAAGGTAAAGAAAGAAAGAAGGAAAGAAGGAAGGAAGGAAAAAAAAGAAAGAAAAGAAAGAAAGGAAAAGAAAAAAGAAAATAAAAGGAAGAGGAAAAGAAGAAAGGAAGGAAGAAGGCAAGGGAAGGGAAGAGAAGAGAAAGGAAGATGGAAAGAAGGAAGGAAGACCGCAAATATTAGAAATTCTGGGTTTGTTAGAGAATATGTCAAACTGTTTTTTTTTTTCACTTGAAAGGAAAGAGTATCTGCCATTGAAGATTGGATGTCTTGTTGGTGATATTGTTGTTCTTATCTTCCACATGATTACTGAGTTTGTGCCTAGTCTTTCCATTACTAAGACAAAAGTGTTGAAGTCTGCAAATATAATTTTGGATTTTTCTAGTTCACCTTTGATTTCTTTCATGTTTTTCCTCATGTATTTGGAGGTTCTGTTGTTAGCTGCATACCCTAATTAGTAGGATGTTTACATCTTCTTGAGAATTGATGATTATATTATCTATTATCTCTCATCTCTGATACTATTTCTTGTTCTGAACTCTGTTGTGTCTAATATCAACGTAGTCCATCCACAGCTTTATTTTAGTGTTTCCATGATATGGCATTCTCCATACCTTGATGATAACCTATTTATATCTCTATATATTTGGAGCACGGTATAAAATTTAGACTTGATTTTTAAAGAGTTTTCAAGATGTAATTCTTATTTATTTTTGTTCTATTTGACATTCTCTGAGTTTCCTATATCTGAAGTTTGATTTTCTGTCACTTCTTTTAGAATATTTTTGGCAGTTGTTTTGAAAAATATTTCTTTGGCTCCATTATTTTTTCCTCTTTTCTTTTTGGGATTTCAATCATAACTAGAGTAGGTAATTTCATCTCAGTCTTATGCAGGTACTTTTTCTCAAGGTCTTAGGAATGTAGCCTTCTCACACTTCTGTTCTTTTCCTGGCTGTGTTGGTGAACTCAGTGATATTCCTCCTTCACTTCAAGAGCAGTTTTGTTTTGTTTTTCCTGTTTTCATACTGCCAGCATCGGGAGTATTCTAAGTGTGGCAGTTTTTGTTGCCTTCCCCTACATATTAAGTGGAATATCTTGGTCTATTTGGACTCTTATAACAAAATAACATAAACCGGGTGACTAAAAAACAACAGATATTTCTTTTTTCACACTTCTTGAGGCTGTAAGATCTCAGGTCAAGATGCTCACAAATTCAGTGTTGATGAGAGCCCATTTCATGGTTCATAGATGGTGCCTTCTTTCTATGTCCTCACATAGTGGAAGACACACAAGAACTCCATTGAGCTATTTTATAAAGGCACTAATCCCATTCATAAGGGCTCGGCCCCCAAGACCTGGTCACCTCCCAAGTGTTCTGCTCTCCCTGATCTGTGTCATATACAGACTCTCTTGGATTCCTTACCAATTGCTTGAGAGATCGCAGTGGGTTTGTGGGGAAAAAGTTTTCAAGATGATGGATCTTTCCAAACTTCTGCAGCTGTCAGCGGTCTCCCAATCTCACCAGCCCCACTTTGTCTTTAGGAATTTATTGATTATTCCAGCTTTACTTGTCATAGTGGTATTTGCATCTGTCCTATGTAAGTGCATCTGTCCTCTTTCTCCTTGAAGTTGCTTGTTTTCCCTCATATTTTGACTCAGTTCTTGGCAACCTGGTTGCTATAAAAATAAAGTCATGACTTTGAAGTTAGTTTGGTTCTTCCATTGTTGTCAGGTTAGGAACCCTATTCCATCCCAGATCACCAAAACCCAGAGGTTTTTGAGGGTTGAAATTTTAGGCTTTCTCTTTGAATTGTAGTTTTATCTTCTTTCAGTTACCATTTGCATTTTCATAATGATTAATGAGACTAAGATTTTTTTGTGTAGTTGACTGTACCTTTGGATTTTTTTCCCAAATCCCTTTTCATTTCTTATTTTCTTTGTGGTTTTAGAAAATGTAGTTTACATAATTGCAGTTTGATTTTTTACTCAGTTAATGGCATGCTTAATGGAGAGAAAAAATATTAAATATATTTCCCTTTTTAATTACTGTGCTTTTTTCTTTTTTAAGGAAATGTTTCATTATGTTAAATTTCAGTGTTATTCTACTTAGCTATTCCTTAAATATTATAGTATTTTGGATTTCACATAAATTTGTAAGATATCTTGAGTTTATTATGTAGAGAGTAAGGCTATTTTCTCTTTTTTGTTTTTTAAGGTAAAAATCACAAAATATAAAATTAATAACTTAACCATTTTAAAGCATACAATGCACTTGTTTTTAGTATATTCACAATGTTCCAGGGCAATTTCATCATGTCCCTTCCAAAAACCCATTAGGCATAAAGTTATTACACCTTATTCTGCTTCCCTGAGCCCTAACGACCACTAACCTGATTTATATCCCAATTGATTTGCCAATTCCTGATGTTTCATGTGAATAAAATCAAGTAATATTTGTCCTTTTGTGCACTTAACATAATGCTTTCAAATTTCACCCATATTATACCATATATAAGTACTTCATTCTTTTTTATAGCTGAAAATTGGGTGTCCATTTATGACTCAACAAGCATATGGATTGTTTCCACTTTTTGACTGTATGAATATTAATGCTGTAAATATTCATGCACATGTTTATTTTTTGAGCACCTATGTTTTGTAAGATTAACAGCTGACTTAAGAGAAACAATGGAAGACAAGAGGCAGTAGAAAAATATATTCAAAAGATGCAAAGGAAAAAAAACTGTCAGCCATGAATTCCTTATCCAGCAATTATTTTTCAAAAATGAAGATAACACAAAGACTTACCCAGATAAACAGAAATATTAACTGAAGTTGTTGCTGGCAGACCTACCATATAAAAAAAAAACTCTAAAATAAATTCCTAAGGCTAAAAGCAAGTTACACAAGCCAGTCATTTGAATCCACATTTTTAAAAAAGTACTGGTATAGGTAATATTAACATTATAAAAACAGTAGAAATGCATGTTTTCTCTTTATCATAAATTGTTTATAAAATAATATGCATATAACGGCCAGGCACGATGGCTCACGCCTGTAATCTCAGCATTTCGGGAGGCCGAGGCGGGCATATTACGAGGCCAGGAGATCGAGACCATCCTGGCTAACACAGTGAAACCCTGTCTGTACTAAAAATACAAAAAATTAGCCGGGCGTGATGGCGGGCGCTTGTAGTCCCAGCTACTCGGGAGGCTGAAGCTGAAGAATGGCATGAAGCCGGGAGATGGAGCTTGCAGTGAGCGGAGATTGTGCCACTGCACTCCAGCCTGGGTGGCAGAGGGAGGCTCCATCTCAATGATAATAATAATGATATGTGCATAATGTATTGCTGAGTATTTGACATATGGAAATGTAATACGTCTATAACATATTTTCCAGTAACATCAAAAAGGAGGTAGTTGGAAGAAAAATGTATTGTGATAAGGTAATCACTCTAGATGGTAAAGCAATAATTACTAAAATATATTGTTGGCTTTGTAACGTTAATAGATGTAACGTGTAAAGTGATAATACTTTAAAATGGAGGAAATAAAAGAGATTTGTATAAGAATGATGTTTCTATGTATTACTAAAAGTTTACTGGTATAAATTGGAAGATGATTTGAATAACTAATTTTCCATATACCTATATGGTAAACTTACAACAACCACAAAAATTCTCAAAAATATATAGTAAAATAATTCATTAGTAATCTAGAGTTCCCTATTTTAGAAAATATTCATTCATTGCAAAATAAAGAAAGAAAAATATTTGAGAAATATACACAACAAACGGTAAAATGGCAGACATAAATAGAATTATACCAATTATAATATTAAATGTGAGCAGATTAAAATCCCTTCAAGAGGCAGAGATTGTCAGACTGGATTAAAACAAGTGATCCCAATATACCCAGAGATGCAAGGATACTAATGGATTGAAAGTAAAAAGATGACAAAAAATACCATGTAAAGAGCAATCATAAGAAAACTGAACTCATTATACTCATAACACACGAGGTAGACTAATAAAATGTGAATAGGATTTTAAAAATTTATATTGTAGTAATAAGAGGGTCAACGCTTTCGGAAGACATAGCTATTACAATCATGTATGCACAGATAGGAGCTAAATTGTTTCCTCTATATAGATGCTGAAATCCTAACCACTGAAAATGACCTCATTAGAAAATAGGTTCTTTGCAGGTGATTAAGTTAAGATAAAATCAGATGAGCCTGAATTCAATATGACTGATGTCCTTATAAAAAAAAATTGAGTAGAGGGAGACATACACACAGGGAGAGTACCATGTGATTATGAGGGCAGAGATTAGCCAAGGAAGGGCAAAGACTGCCACTAAACCACCAGAAGCAAGAAACAAGGCACAGAACAGACTTTCTCTCATAGCCTTTGAAGGGACCATCCCTGCTGACACCTCAATCTCAGACTTTTAGCTTCCAGGACTATAAGACTATAAATGTATGTTGTTCAAGGCACCCAGTTTGTGTTAGTTGGTTATGGGAGCCCTAGAAAACTAATACATGAACTAATAACAAAGCATAATAACATGAAGAAAAAATTGACAAAAGAGGAGCATCAGCAAAACGGCAGTGGAGACAGCTGCAATCTTTCATTTCCCCATAGAAACATCACACAACTAAGAGAAACTGTCCGAATAAACTTTGCCAAAACTCTGGAAAATGGTCAAAAGATTACAACAACCAAGTGAAAGCAGACTCAAGAAAAAGACAATTTGAAAACTTTATGACATTTTTAGCTTGCCTTTGCAGCAGCAAATTGGCAGTTTTGAAGTGTCAGAAGCCCACGTTCCCAGTGAGGAACCCTGGTCCATGATCCAAAGGAACAAGAGAAGATCTTACCAACAAATTACTATGTGTCTGTTCTGACTGGTCTGGGGGATACCTAAAGGACTCATGAAAGGCTTTTGTTTTTTCTGTGTTGCTAGAATACAGAACAGATAAGGAATGGACATTATCAAGAAACTCTGCAAGGAGACCTAACAAACCACAGATGCTTAGGGCAAAAATTAGAGCTTACACATGTAGTAGATCACCTTCAGCACAGGAAGAAAAGTTGGAGAAGAGTATTTAGAAAACTAAGACATTCAAAATCATTCAAGTACACGAGAGAGTCTAGGAAGTCACATGTATGCATAGGTTAAGCCACATGCTGACAAATGTCATAAGAAGACCCTACACTTTTACCTTGGCGAATCCCTCTCCTCAGTGCAAGCTCTGTGCAAGAGTGAACTTGAACTTCACTCAGTGCAAGAGTGAACACACACTTTGTTTCGGCTTTAAAGAACCCAGCACGAAGCCAGTCTGCATGGCCTAGAGACATATTTTGCTGGATAATGATTACTTGTTTTTCTTTTTGTTTTTGTTGTATTTGCCTGTTTGCTTAGTTCCTGACATACAAGAAAATCACTGTCAAAACATTAGCTTAACATTTGTCAAGGAAACAAAAAGACTTCGGTGACCACACCTTATAAAGCAAACAGTTTTGTAAATCACTTTGGAAAATTTCAGTAAAAAAAAAAATCCTTAACAATATAATAAGTAAAGAAAATTTAAAACCCCAAAACATTACTGTGTTTGTGTGGGGGGGTCTGATTTACAGAGTAACCACATAGTAATTATAATTATTATAATGCCCAGTTTTCAAAAAAAGTTCCAAGGCATACAAAGAATGGGAAAGTGTGGCTCATTCAAAGGAAAAAAACAAACTGACAGAGAATATCTCTAAGGAAACCCAGACTTCAAAATTACTAGACAAAGACTTTAAAACAACTCTCTTAATTATACTCAAATGTCACAAGGAAAACATAAACAAAGAAATAAAGGATTCAGAAAAAATATTAAAATGTAGGAATATCAACAGAGATAGCAGAAATTCTGGAGTGGAAAACTACAACGATAAAAATTTCAAAATCACCAGAGGGATTTAAGAGTATATTTGCACACACAGAAGAAGTCATGAGCTTGAAGATAAGAAAATGGAAAATATTGACTCTGAGAAACAGATAAAAAATGAGCAGAGACTAAGGAATCTGTGGGACATCATCAAATAGACCAACATTCATATTCTAGGATAAATTATGTTGTTGAAAACTTTAGCATTCTTTCTTTTCACCTTTCTTCCTCCCTCTCCCTCCTCCTCTTTACTTTTCTTCCTCTTCCTTTCTCTTCTTCTTTCTCTCCTTCATTATCCCTTTCACTCTGTTTCTCTTTCTCCCTTTCTCTTTTTTCTTTTCTTTCAATTTTCTCCATTACTAAGAGATGTTTAAATACCCTTACCATGTGAGTTGATATGGTTATTTCTCCGTTTAATCCTCTTTTGAGATTTACAGTCACTCTAAGTAAAGAGATTACCCAAACATAAGCCTCACAAACAGGCTTCCATACCATTCTTAATTTGGTCCTGTAATTCTTCATTGATGTATTAACTTTCTGATGCTTTTAAGGATGTTTTATAACAAATTGTTTAGTTTTTTCCACTGGAATGTTTATTCTGAATTATCTAATTCATATTGTAAATATAGAGGGAGTTTAATATAAAATTATTAAACTAATATTTATGAAAGAACGTATTTGTGCATTTAACAAATATGTTAATCCTCAGACTGTTATTGGGCAGCTGAGCATACAGCAATAAAAATAACAACTTTTATGCGTATAATATTTATGGAATACGTTACTGGAACAAATAAATAATTTAGTTAATAACATGACAAAGAACAGAAATTGTATACACTATAGAGCATAGTAATGGAATAATGAATGATTAAAGTTATTAATATTAGGTAGAAAATGAAGGGTATCTTTGAGAGCAGATCTCAAGGAAGCAAGCAATTTGCCTTATGAGGAAAGAGTTACCTGTGGATAAAGGAGAAACTGAAAAATTTAGAAGTCAAGACTTTTTGAGCAAAAACAAAAATATGACTATTAGTCACCAATTCAGTACAGTGAAAAAAGAGTTGAAGAGATATCTTGGAAGTAAACCATATTGTGGAAGAGCATGTAGGGTTTTGATAATCATGGGATTATTCTGAATTAATTTTAAATGCAATAGGAATATATGAGATACTTTCACCAGAGAATAACATGATTGTGTTTGCATTTCAATGGGGTGTATCTGGTGCACCGCGTAGAATAAATAGGTTATGTGAGCAAATAAATTGGAAGGCTATTGTAATCCAGAGAAAAAAGGTAGTGACTTAGGTGAGAATGCTGTCAGGATGAGTGGTATTAGTGGTGAGAAGTCGTTAGGCCATGGATGTATTTCAGAGGACTGGCCAAGAGAACTGCAGCTAAATTGGAGTGTAGGGAGTGAAATGGAGAACTCAAAGATGACTCTCAGCACTGGAAGGTGACAGCTGTCACTGAAGCATGCTGATGCCTCTTATTAAGAGAGTTACTTGGGAATGGCAAGATCAAAACTTCTCACTTTCAAATTTATGAAAAATATTGTTTTCAGAACGAATGACTTTGGGATCAGAAAGCCATCATTCTAATTGATGGTTCCAAGACTACACGGGCTCACACTCCCAAGAGCAAAAGTAAATCATCACAAAGGTGCTTCCTGATAATTCTAGAGAATGGAGAATTACTGTAACATCTTTCTGATTTTAGGAGAGGTAGCATTTCCCTGTTTAGCCTAAATGCTATTTTTTTTAAAGCTCAGCCAAGAGACTCCATTATAATTTTCAAATGTGTGTAACTTAAATTCTCATATGAAATACCACTATGCTTAAATTAGTCAAAACATTTTCCCCATCTACAACTCTATCTTGTCATTGCAATCATTTTCACAAAAGTGACTGCAGCTCACAGACCCTAAAAGGAGAAAATCCAGGGTAGGTTATCTGATCTAGTTAGTTTGGAAGACAGGATCTAGAGATTATTTAATATGAAATAGGTCACCTGAAATGAAATGTTTACTGAAAACAGCTTGGGTCAGCCCAGTTTTCTACCACTGAACCATGCATTTGGTTTAAAAAACACAACAACTCTGGGGAATATCAGCTGCTTCCAACTGTGTTGAAGGTGTTAAAGAAAAGAGCATAAAATTAAAAATGATCATCTGAGGCCTTTATAGTCTCTGCTCAAGAGACTAGAATCTTCCATTCTTAACGAAACACCCAAATATCTTAATAATTGGGCAAAATCTAAATGTCAGAGAGATAATTTTATCTTGAAGATTGTTAAATTATAATGGTGATTCACTACCTTGCCACGTCTCTGAGTCAAAAATTAGGTCTTTGTTTAGGAATCAATGGTACTCTGCAACTTGGAAATAGGAAGATTTTAGAAGACTCAAACATTGACTTTCTTGTGTGCAAAAAAAAAGACGTATTGAGATAAGACAAGTCTTTCCTTGCAAGGATACCTCTAATGCTCATACACCACCTCCCCTAACGTTAATATAGCTTCCAGGTCAGTAACCAGTGTCAGAGAGCAGCCCATGCAACTACAAATTCAATAGATGTCGAACACAGGGTCAAGCCTAGAATAAGAAGTCTCAGCTAATTAACTATGCTTTTTCCCCAAATTCACATTAAGAAAAACTTGGATATGTCAGAGAATGCATTCTAAGTTCACTCAACCTAGGAGGGAGAAACATAATTTTAAATTAAGAGCTGAAGCATTCTTCTCCTAACAGAAAGCAAGGAAAACGAAATATCACACCACAGGAGGGATTTCACAAATTACTGTCAACATCAAAACCTTAAAATAGGCAAGGAGAATACAGATTCACAATGAACTCTTGTACTTGTTTTGTTCAGAGAAGAGATGGTTCTGAGAGAATGACAGTGAACTAACCCCAGCTGGTTTAGTTGGTGCTTTCAACTGCTGCTTCTGATCAACTCCTTTAGCTAGAATAAATTGATGAGGATTTTGGCATGTGGTATTAGAGATGGTTCTTTTTTCCTCTTATTTGCATTGTTGAATGTAGTAAATACTAGCTGTATATGGCTACTTCAATTCAAATTAATTACAATGAAATATACTTCAATATTGAATTTTTTAGTCACTGTTGGTTCATTATTGAATATCTTCAGCTAAGATTTCCCATCTAAATACACTAAGAGGTGGTTTAGTTAACTGGTCATCCACAAATATTGACACTGATGTTAACTCCTGATATATTCTCTGCAAATAGAATATTCATGAGCCTCCTCCTGAAATCAGCAGCCTAGAGATAGTTTTATAAATTGGATACCAGTTGGAAACCTATATACTCTTTAAGTTTTTGAAATATTAGCTTCCCAGGGAAGAAAATCAAATTCATGAGATATGTTAGGACAATTTAACTCAAGATGCTCAAAACTGAAATGATGTATTCTACAATATGTGGTAAAACCACCCCCTAACAACTTAAAGCAAAACAGGGATTGACCTTAAAGACCTGCCTTTTCCTCATCCCTCAGCCAGTTTTCAAATCTTGCATTTTATTTCCAAAGGTCCTTATCTCCCTAGTCTCTTGTTTCTAGACTCGGCACATATTTAAGTTTGTTACCTCTATCTACTGACTTTTCTCTTTTCAAACAGTATCTATGCCTGTCAAATGTGAACATATAAAAAAAAATCAGAATGTGCCATTCTGATTTAAACTGCTTATTAGTTAAAACCCTCAAGATAACATCTGGGTTCTTAGCTGCAATGAGTCAAGCCTACTTACATCTTTTTTTGTCTTTCGCTGCACATTTCCTATCTCATCACACTCCAGCAATGCCAAGCTGTGCCGGCCTTCTACACCAGATCCACTATTTTGCCCCGCGTCGTCGCGGATTTTTGCCCCCTCTCCACCGCGGCTTTTTGCCCCCCCGCCGCCACGGCTTTTTGCCGCCCGCCGCCACGGATTTTTCCCCACCGCGGTTTTTTGCCCCCCACGCCGCCTCGGGTTTATGCCTGCCGCGGCTTTTTGCCCCCCCACCGCCGCGCCTTTCTGAGCGCCATGGCTTTTTCACCTCGCCGCCGCGGCTTTTTGCCTGACCCGGCTTTTTGCCCGCCGCGGCTTTTTGCCCGCCGCGGTTTTTTGCAGCCCCGCCGCCGCGGCTTTTTGCCTCCCTGACGCCGCGGCTTTTTGCCGGCCGCGACTTTTTGCCCCCCAGCCGCCGCGGCTTTTTGCCCGACCCGGCTTTTTGCGCCCCCGCCGCAGAGGCTTTTTGCCCCCCCGCCGCCCCGGCTTTTTGTTCGCCCGCCGCGGCTTTTTGCCCCCACCCCCTCGCTCCGGTGTCGCGGTTATTTGCCCGCCGCGGCTTTTTGCACCCCCCGGTGCCGCCCTTATTTGCCCGCCGCGGCTTTTTGCCCCCCGCCGCCGCGGGTTTATGCCCGCCGCGGGTTTTCGCTCCCCGCCGCCGCAGCTTTTTGCCCGCCGCAGCGTTTTGCCCTCCGCCGCCGCGGCTTTTTGCCCCCCCACCATCGCGGCTTTTTCCCCACCGCGGTTTTTTGCACCCCGCCGCCGCGGCTTTTTGCCCTCTGACGCCGCGGCTTTTTACCCGACCCGGCTTTTTGCCCCGCCGCCGCCGAGGCTTTTTCATCTCCGCCGCCGCGGCTTTTTCCCGCCGCGGCTTTTTCACCCCCGCCGCCGCAGCTTTTTGTCGCCGCGGATTTTTGCCCCCCCACCACCGCGGCTTTTTGCCCCCCCCACCGCGTCTTTTCGCGCGCCTCGGCTTCTTGCCCCCCCGCCGTCGCGGCTTTTTACCCCCTGCCGCCGTGGCCTTTTCCCCGCCGCAGCTTTTTGCCCCCCCGCCGCCGCGGCTTTTTCCCCACCGCGGTTTTTTGCCCCCCGCCGCCGCGGCTTTTTCCCCACCGGGGTTTTTTGCCGCCCCGCCTCCTCGGGTTTATGCCCGCCGCGGCTTTTTGCCCCCCGCCGCCGAGCCTTTCTGCCCGCCGCGGCTTGTTCCCCACGCCGCCGCGGCTTTTTGCCAGGCGCGACTTTTTGCACCCCCGCCGCCGCGGTCTTTTCCGCGCCGAGGCTTTTTGGCCCCTGCCGCCGCGGTCTTTCCCGCGCCGCGGCTTTTTGCCTCCGCGGATTTTTGCCCGCCGCGGCTTCTTGCCCCCCCGCCGACGCCGCTTTTTGCCCGTCGCGGCTTATTGCCCCCCTGCCGCCACGGCTTTTTGCCCCTGCCGCCACGGCTTTTTGCCCCTGCCGCCTCGGCTTTTTGCCCCATGGCCATCCTCAGAAGCGTTGAGTGGAACAGAGTGAAGGGAAAGCTGTTTTCTTCTAAAGCTCAAAAATCTTGAACTTTCAAATAGGGATAAGTGTTATTTTTCCTCCAAGCACACATTTGAGACATCTTCCATTTAGCGGATCTGATGATAAACCCACATTTTTTGTTTGTTTTAATCTGAAAATGTATTTCTCTGGTTCTTGGACTTTTTTTGCATATAAGATTATATTTTATCATCTTATTTCAAGTTTTATTTACCATTTGATGATTACTCTTAAAATGTCCTTGATTAAAGAATCATCTATTGCTCCAACTGCTCTTTACTAAAGGTAATTTGTCTTTTCATCCTCATCAGGCTCCTTTTAAGCTCTCAAACTGACCTTATTTTTTTTTACAGATTCAATGCATTAAGTCAATTTATTATTTATGATGAATTTATTTATGTATTTATTTTCACTATCACAAGTAGAAAAAGCCTGTAAGTTGCTATGCCAAAAAGCTGCCTCTAGATGGCAAACAAACCCCACAATACACAAAAGAGAGCCAAATTCTTAGAAACCCTGGGAAAGGAAGAGGGCTACTGTCCCATTAACAACTTGGAGCCCTTAAGGCAAGAATGAGGTGGAACATCTGGGAGGAGACACCAGGGTGCGGAGTAGTGGGGAACCTGCTCTGTGCGCTGAGACTGAAAGCCCAGCCTTGCCTCTCACCGCTGCCTTGACTGTGTCCCGATGTGCTGTGAAGTGAATGATGTCTTCTAAATTCATGCTGAGCCCTAATTGCTGAAAAGTGTAAGACATGCAATGGGGGGATTATGTGCATCTTCCCGACACCAACATGATGCTCAGGAAGGAGACTTCTTGTTTTCTCTTAGGATTCTTTTACTAACCAAGATTTTGCCTCTACTGCATATTTCCCTTTGCTGATTGTCCCTCCCTTTTGACAGAAGATGGCCCAGGGCATTCAGTACTAAGTCTCAACCTCTTACCCAAAGCCCTCAGTCTAGTGTTGCTCTTTCTTTCATGCTATTTTTGTTTGTTTCTTTTCTTGTAATCATCTTGGCAATAAAATAATCAGTTTTTTCTTTCTACCTATTAAAGATGTTACCTTAGTTAATTACAGTGGTTTCCTTCAGAATGATAAATGGTCTTTCAAAATGATGTAAAGAGATCTAAATCCGTGTGCTCCAGAAGTTGAATGAAGATCTGTCTAGCACGGGTGCCAGTGACTCTCCCAGAGTGCTCCATGCAGCTGGCCCCACAGAGTCCCTCTGTGCTGTCATATCACCCACTGCCTTCTGTGAATGAGATATTCTGATTAGAATCCTGGTGGATGCTATTTGAGCCAGTGCCCCCACAACTCCTATGAAAGCTGAGGACCACAGGCCCCTGAAGACAATCACAGGTCTCTAGACTCACAGCTCATGACCGTCCTCTGCAGACACAGCTTCTCCCCGGATGGCTGAGGGTTGTCATTGGCTGTGTCCTTCCTTGTGCATGACAACAGGAGACATAGAAGGTCTGTAAGCAGCCCTGCAAGCCAGGTTCTGAGCAAGCCCTCCTGTGTGGGGCCCTCTTACCTGGACATAGGTGAGTAAAACAAAAATGAAACTCTAAGCTCCCTAACCAACTGAATGAACTCCTCCTCTCAGCCAAGGACACACCAAAATCAACCTGAAATACAATGCAGTCCATGATCGGAACGGATGATTGGATATGCCTGAACTTACCCTCTTCCCTTTAAAATTCAGGCACAACTGACCAGCTTTTAATATGAAGACAGAGACCTTGAGACTGACAAAGAAAACTCTTTATAGCAATAAGATACCAATGTGACAGATACCATGTCCTAAGAGAAATCAAAGTATTTTCCCCAAGATATTGTTATTTAATGTTATTTAAAAATGCCTCTGCAAAGCTGGTTCTTGTGGGAAAAATCTACATTCTGTAGAGATTCCTTTTTAAATCTCTTTCCTGACCCAGAGAGATTTAACTAAGAGTTTGGCACCTTTTAAGTCTACTAAGAAACAATTACAATCTATTCTCTCTGAAGCCTGCTACCTGGAGGCTTCATCTGCATGATGCAACCTTGGCTCCAAAACCCTTTTTCTAAACCCAGAAACTCCCTTGTGTTGATTACAGGTCATTAGATAAACGCTTTCAACCACCTATGAAATCTCTGAATCCACCTATGACCTGGAAGTCCCCAACATCCCCCCTCCTTCGGGCTGTCCTGCCTTTCCATATCAAAGCAATGTACAGCTTACACGTATTGATTGATATCTTATGTCTCCCTAAAACGTGTAAAACCAACCTGTAGCCCGACAACCTTTGACACACGTTCTCAAGACCTCCTGAGGCTGTTTCACTGATATTTCTTTAACTTTGACCAAATAAATTTCTAAACTGATTGAGACTTTTCTCAGATACTTATTTGTTCATAGGTATCACTGGATACACTTAAGGAATTGAAGAGATTTATGACATTGAGAAAAGGAGGAAGCCAGGGTGTATGGAGAGAGAGAGAGAGAGAGAGATTGTGATGTATGTACAGGACTAACACTGAGACCTGGTTATGTAATGGTGCAGTACTGAGTATCATCCCCAAATAGTGAGGTTTCATTCCAAGAAGACTATGCATGTATCTCATTTGGGGAAACAGCTTTTGCAGGTGTAAATTAAGGAGCTTGAAACAGGGAGATATTCTTAGATTAATCAACTGGGACTTAAATGCAAACTCAAGTGTCCTAAAAAAACCAAGAGGTAGAGAGACATTTAGCATAGACTGAAGTGGAGAAGGCAATGTGAACACAGAGACAGAGATTGCAGTGATGTGTCCACATCCCGGGAGAGAGAAGCCACCAGAAGCTGGAAGAGCTAAATCAGACTGCCCCCTAGAGCTTCAGAAGGAGCCAGAACTGATGACTCCAAGATCTTAGCCCAGTGAAACTGATCTGGACTTCAGAACTATGAGAGATTCCATTCCTGCTGTTTGAAGCTACCACATTTTTGAGAACTTGTTACAGTAGCCCGAGGACACTAACACAAATGGGGCTCCGGGAAAATCCAGACTAAAGGTGTTGTGTTGGTTTGCAATCTCCTTGCTTAACTTTCTGATACTAGACATAAATAGATTGGTGAAAAATTTTGTGATTGAAGAAATGTACATGCAACCTACAGTGTACAGAGAAGCATCTGTTAGTTATAAGATAAATATTGATAATTTTAGTTGAAAATGACATATGACTGTCAATATCTCACATAACATTCTGAGTTACTCAAGAATGCATAAAAGGGGCACTAGATACTCTTCTCATGTATGTGTGTGTGTCTGTCTATACATGTATGTACACTTCATGGTGCATCAGCTGGCGGAATCCTCAGGACACCCCTTCACATCCTCAGTGCCCCGTTTCACACATGAGGAAACTGTTCATGACAGCACATGGCTGATTTGCATAAAAGTCACTTGGTCAGCAGTTGTTGAAGCTGAACTTGGAATCTAGGTCTGTCTGACCTTAACTATGTTCCTTCCACAGAGCCACATTCATTCCATAGAGGAACCCACCACCTATAAAACCAGGAAAGAGACAAAGCCAGAAGTGCAGGGTGGATTTCTTAACACAAGCTCACTGCGACCTCTAGTCCTCATCACGCTGACACTAAGCTTAAACCCAGACCCTTCTACAGTTTTGTCTACAAAGCACAATTTGCCCAAAGCCTTTACAAACACCAACAGCCTTTCTTTCAGATATGGCAGCAGGGTCACATCTTACACGGCCCTGACCACATTTTGTCTCCTCTGCCATCCCCATCTCTCTGACTCAGTCCTCGCTTGCAGCCATAAAAAAGGATGAGTTCATGTCCTTTGTAGGGACATGGATGAAGCTGGAAACCATCATTCTCAGCAAACTATCACAAGGACAAAAAAACCAGTCACTGCATGTTCTCACTCACAGGTGGGAATTGAACAATGAGAACACATGGACAGAGGAAGGGGAACATCACACACCAGGGCCTGTCATGGGGTGGGGTGAGGGGGGAGGGATAGCATTAGGAGGTATACCTAATGTAAATGACGAGTTAATGGGTGCAGCACACCAACATGGCACATGTATACGTATGTAACAAAACTGCACGTTGTGCACATGTACCCTAGAACTTAAAGAACAATAATAATAATAATAAAAGAATGAGTCTTGTACATCTAATTTGCCCTACAAATGTTAAAACAGCAAACCCGCATCCCCTTCCTCTTCTCATGTGCTGTGAGGGATGACCTCCAGGCTCTCAGATATTTCTGAGATATTTCTCAGTTGCTATTCTCATGGGCCAGGAGAAAACATCTTTTGTGAGGCTAGCTCTCTTATATCCTCATACTCTCTCCCCCACACAGCATTTTGTTTCTTTGTAATCCTTTGCTGCTCCTGAGCTACAGGATCTAGAAAATAATTGGAAATTTAACAGTGAAATTAATTTCTTGCTAGCATTTGCCTTTATGAGACTGAAACAGTGTGTGCTTTCATATGATTGCAATACATGCACGTATGTGTATGTATACAATACATACACATACAACATATATGTATGTATAGAATACGTACACATACAACATATGTATGTATAGAATACGTACACATACAACATATGTATGTATAGAATACGTACACATACAACATATGTATGTATAGAATACGTACACATACAACATGTATGTATAGAATACGTACACATACAACATATGTATGTATAGAATACGTACACATACAACATATGTATGTATAGAATACGTACACATATAACATATGTATGTATACAATACGTACACATATAAGATGTATGTATACAATACGTACACATATAAGATGTATACAATACGTACACATATAACATGTATACAATACGTACACATATAACATATGTATACAAGACGTACACATATAACATATATGTATGTATACAATACGTACACATATAACATGTATGTATACAATGCATACACATATAACATGTATGTATGCATACAAAACATACACACATAACATGTATGTATGCATACAAAACACACATATAACATGTATGTATGCATACAAATACATACACATATAACATGTATGTATGTATAAAATACATACACATATAACATGTATACAATACACACACATATAACATGTATGTATACAATACATACACATATAACATATATGTATACAATACATACACAAATAACATATATGTATACAATACATACACATATAACATATATGTATGTATACAAGCATAATATGTACATATGTGTATATACAATACATAAATTGCGTTATATATACATATGTATATAAAAATTGCAATGTACGCACATATGTATATATGTATGTACTGCAATATACATATTGCAATATACATATATACAACATACACACATATGTATACATGCATGTATTGCAATATACACATATATTACCATATACAATATATATATTATATATATTTATATAATATATATAATATATATTTATATAATATATATAATATATATTTATATAATATATATAATATATATTTATATAATATATATAATATATATTTATATAATATATATAATATATTATATATTTATATAATATATATATTATATTATATATTTATATAATATATATATTATATTATATATTTATATAATATATATATTATATTATATATTTATATAATATATATATTATATTATATATTTATATAATATATATATATTTTTAAAACTATGTATATATGAATGTATTAGTCAGGGTTCTCCAGAGCGAAAGCATAGGATATATATTCTCAGGGAGTTTATTAAGTAGTATTAACTCAGATGATCACAGGGTCCCACAGTAGGCTGTCTACAAGCTGAGGAGCAAGGAAACCAGTCCGAGTCCCAAAGCTGAAGAACTTGGAGTCCGATTTTCAGCATGGGAGACAGATGTAGAATGGGAGTCTAAGCCAGTCTAGCCTTTTCACGTTTTTCTGCCTGCTTTATATTCTGGCCACACTGGCAGCTGATTAGATTGTGCCCACCCACATTGAGGGTGGGTCTGCCTTTCCCAGCCCACTGACTCAAATGTTAATCTCTTTGGCAACACCCTTACAGACACACCCAGGATCAATACTTTGCATCCTTCAATCCAATCAGGTTGACACTCAGTGTTAAACATCCCAATGAATATATATTGCAAGAAGAAATATATGTGTATTTTTTCTTACTATATTACCATATGTCAACTATAAGAAAATAGTGTGGAAGAAGAGAAGAAAAACCTTAATACACACATAAGTAAAGCCAGAACCATCCTTGTAGAATTAGGATATATAATATATCTCTATGTTTTAATCTTGCTGTTTTTTGTTTTCCCACGGCCATGTTTCTAAATATGCCTTAACTAGGTACAGTACAGACTTGGCAAAAACTCTTTCCAGTCAAGGTGCATACATAGGTAGAATTTTCTGTTTCAAGAATGATTGATAAACAGATGGTGTATCTGTCAAGTTTCTCCAGAGAAAAATAAACAATAAAAAATGTGTAGACAGATGGATGAATGGATGAATGGATGGAGAAAGAGACAGAGAGAGAGAGAAATAGATTTATTTTAAGAAATTGGCTTATGTGATTGTAGAGGCTAGGAAGTCCAAAATCTGCAGGATAGACCAGCAAGCTGGAGACCCAGGAAAGAATGAATGTTGCAGCTCAAGTCTAAGGCAGTCTGCTGCCAGATTCCCTCTTCCTCAGGAGAGAAAGATGTTAGGAGAGGTCAGTCTTTCCATCCCCCCACCATTAAGGGCTTCACCTGATGAAATGAGGCCCACCTAGATTATGGAGGTTAATCTGCTTCACTCAAAGGCTACTAATTTACATGTTAATATCATCTTAAAAATTCCTTCACAGCAGAATTCAAAATAGTGTTTGACCAAATATCTGGACCTTAACATGTAAAATTAATAATTACAGAGGGACAGATTATGGAAGACAACACATTTTTTTTTTACCAGGTAAAGAATTAGATTCATTAATTTTAGGTAAACTGAAATTATCCTAAATTACTTTTAATTCAAACCAAAACACAAGGAGAGATAATGTAGAATTGTCTTGCAAACAGTGTCAAAATCATGCAAAACTGAGGAGACTCAAGGAATTAAAAAAATTTTAAAAAAAATACTAGGCAAGAATTAGCAGTTTACTTTCTGGACTATGAGCCTAAACTTTCTTTCTTATCTATATAAATATTACCTAAATCTCCATTTTTCTCTGCCTTAGCATTCTTAGACATAGTGTCACTGTCACATAGAACAAAACACTTTAAGTTTTCCTGCAGATAACATGAATCTCAAATATCAGCAGAGTATCATCTTTATTGTGATGTGTTACAGTCAAAGAAAAATATAAACTTTGTATCCTCAGTGGGATTTTCTTTCTGAAAAACGCTGAAAGTCTATTATAAAGTGTGTCATAAAAATCTCTCCCTCAGCCCTAGATTAGTCCATAACTACCTAGTGATCCAATGCGAAGTATGGTGTTATTACAGAAAACTCACATCCTCTTGCAAAAGAAGAAATCTCAGTAAGACCTAAAGGAATAACAGGGGTCTTATTTCACATTTGTTCTTTTCTAGAAGAAGATGAGAGCTATCTTAGACTCATGCAGGTTCTCAAATATAAACCAATCTCTCAAAGAATTCCCAGCACTTCTGAGTGCAATATAACTTACCGGTGTCACACACACACTTCAATATTATATATTTTTAGGACCTCTCCATAAAAGAACTCATCCTGATGCCTTTTTACCATGTTAATATTCAATATTGTTAACTCAGAAGTATTTGGTTTTATAGTAAAGTCTTGTCTGATTAATGAGGTAATTATTTACTTTTATATACTTAAAAATACTCTGACTTCTTTACTATCTTTAAAGGTCAGATAAAAATGCTGGAAATTTGAAAATGTGGGTGGATATAATAAAGCAGGTTTAGGTTTCTGCACTATCCAGACAGGAGTCCACATGTGTTGCTCTGGGTTCCCATGGTAACTTAAATGGAAACTTTCACAATGTCGAGAGTCCTTGATGTCCTGCAAATGAAGGAGGAGGATGCCCTCTAGTTCCTAGTAGCTGGAACCTGCTAGGTGGCACCAACCCTTCCAAATGGAACAGTACATCTATAAAAGGAAAACTGATGACATCTACATCCTAAATCTGAAGAGGACCTGGGAGAAGCTTCTGCTGACAGCTTATGCCATTGTTGCCCTTGAAAACTCTGCTGATGTCAATGTCAGGTCATCCAGGAATCCTGGCCAGTGGGCTGTGCTGAAGTTCGCTTCTGCCACTGGAGGTACTCCTATTGCTGGTCACTTCACTACTGAAATCCTCACTAACCAGATCCAGGCAGCCTTCTGGAAGCCACGGCTTCTGGTTACTGATCTCAGGGCTGACCATCAGCCTCTCACGGAAGCATCTTTTGTTAAGCTGACTATCATTACTCTATGAAGCACATATTCTTCTCTGTGCTGTGTGGACATTTTCATCCCACGCAGCAAAAATGTAGCTCACTTAGTGGGTTTGATGTGGTGGATGATGGTATGAGTTGGCTGTGTCCCCACCCAAATCTCATGTTGAATTGTACTTCCCATAATCCACACATGTCATGGGAGGAACCCAGTGGGAGATAATTGAATTGGGGGGAGGTTTCCCATGTCTTGTTCTCCTGATAGTGAGTGGTGCTTTTTCCCCTTTTGCTCGGCACTTCTCCTTGCCGCTGCCATGTGAATAAGGATGTGCTTACTTCACCTTCTGCCATGATTGTAAGTTTCCTGAGGCCTCCCCAGTCATGCCAAACAGTTAGTTAATTAAACCTCTTTCTTTATGAATCACCCAGTCTTGCGCTTGTCTTTATTAGCACTGTGAGGAGCAGAGTTGCTTGAACATCTATGATAACTTGCCACAGCTCTAGTTAAGGGCAAATTCAGAATTCAAAGCCAGGAGGAGTCCAAGGCCAAAGGCCACTTTCATGACCATTATAATTCTCCACTCCCAGGCAGTAAGGACAGATATAGAAATTATCCATTGAAAGTTTATGGAGTCAGAGAAATTTCATGAATTTTACAGTTTTTTTTTTATTTAGTAACTAGCAGGATTTTGTTAAGATTAATAATTTGGGCTCCAGAGCCAACTTTACTGGGTTCAAATACACTTATTAAAAATAAATGAGGTTATACATTACTGAGTGGTAATGTAAATTGACAAAATTTTCCTGAGTAAAATGTGGTAAATTGCATCAAAAGCTTTAAACATGTTAAAAACATTGTCCCAGAAATTTTACTTATAGTTTCATTTAAAGAAAATTTCTATAATGTACACAATAATTAATTACAAATGCATTTAATTTCATTGTTGTTTTGAAACAACCTAAGTGTACAACAATAGGGGATTGATTAAATGAGTAATAGGAACTTCATATATCACAGGGGAATGCCTCCTTCCTCACCTTTGTTTTGTGGCATCCTCCGCAGTCTGCCTGGCTTCCTTTTCCACCACTTCCTCATCCCCAGAGCAGAGGACCACCAGCTTTACAGTGGTTGGTGTGTTACAGGTATTGGGTAGACATGATCAAAGTTTCTCTGCTTGGAGAAGTTGCTTCTTTTCTTCTTTCCTCTAGCCAGGGCCAGTGCAGTGCAGGGATTTCCTGCTCCCTGGCTTTAAGCTTTCCCTGAAGTGGGTTCTTCTCACAGCTCAACAAACTTCCAAGGGATGCAGTGAGCAAGCCAATTGTTTCTCTCATTGTAAGCTGTGCCTGCCAATTGTGCCTTAATTAGGAATAGGGTGATATTCTGGTTCTCCACTTGCTGTCTATTTTTCAATTGAATTGGGTAGAAAAGACAGGTGCTACTTACTGAGTGCTCTCAAAGACCCTCAAAAACACTGAGGAGAATATTATAGCCATCATATCCATATAGACATATGAAAAATAACATACTTATGGTTGGAAAAGATCATGACATTTTAAGGCAAAAAAGCAGGTTACACAAAAATGTGTAATACACAGTTAAGAAAACTGGGGGGATAGCAATACATTGTGTTTATTTTTCTCTTGCTTATTCTGCATTCTCTAAATTTTTCTACAAATATTTGTGTTGTTAAAAATAAGAATAAAAACCTATATTTAACAAAACAATACAATAAAGGAGGAGAGTTTATTTAACTTTATGAGTCTCAGTTTTCTCCTCCCCTAAAATCCAAAATAACCCTCTTTGGGTTTTTGCAAAGACTTCATTGACTGATCTATGAAAAAGGGCTTGCAATTGTGTGCGTCATAGGTAGTGATCTGTTTTAAACTTTCAGTCTCATTTTATAACTATAATTTTGATACCTTCCCAACTTGGCCTAGTTATAGTGTAAAAACTATAGATTCCTTTTCATTAATTTTAGTAGTCACTACCACTTTAGTATCAATTATACAAGTGCAAAACAAAAACAAAAAATCGTTATTCAATTGCCTGCTGCCAATATTGGTGAGATATTTGACCTCTAGGCTCAAGTATGATTTTGTTTCATAACAACAGTATTCAAAAATGTTCAAGATGTAGCTGGCATTATAAAATTTTAGATGATTTTCTTCCATAAGCCAAAGGTAAATTAAGATTTCTTTCCTCTTCATAAAGGAAAAAACCTATTTTCAGAGTTAATATGACAGTGGCTATGGCTATAGCTTTCTTTTACTTCAAGAAAAAAAAGTAGAGAATGGTATGGTGTATTTGGTATAAATAAAGGAAACATGAGGATGAGACAGAAAACACGTTCAAGAAGAAGTAATCTTCTCCCCTTTGACAGCCAAAACACAGGTACATTTTTAGCCTCATTTGGTTTCTAAGACAGTTCTTTTTAAACGAAGAAAAAAAATCATGTTTTGCACCCTCAGTCTCTTCAATGCATGGTAAATCAGTAGCAAAGTAATGATGAATGTGGAAATTAATCAAAAGCAAAACTATAGTTTTTACACGTTTCTTAGTGAATTAATGATTTCCCTTTATTACAGTAAATGTGTCAAGACCATAAAATGTGAACAAAAATTTAAAGTGTAAGATTAAATGCTGTTGAAACTTCGCCTGACCCTTATTAATGCAACACTGTGCTTAAGCAGAAACCTGGAATAGAAATAGAAATTATAAGAAAGTGTTACAGCCAGAAATTTTCCAGTAAAAGCCTAAAAAAAATGAAGTAAGTGACAATAGCTTTAAAAGATAAGTCAGGGGAAGAGCCATCACAATTCAATTTTAAACAAGGCCAGGGGCAGAAAATGGTACCTATAAAGAATCAAATGTAACTGAGAAAAACAATCTTGTAATAAGTCAAAGAGTGGTTTTGAAGGAGAAGATTCAATAATCCAGTTGTTAGCTCTTAGCAGGAATCCATTAAAGGAGACATGCACTAAACGCTCTGCTTGAGCAAAAGTATGTTTCTTAAGGTAGAAAAGTTAGAAACAGTGCAAATGCTTTGACTAAATGAACTGATCGCATTGGTCAAACAAGAACGTTTTGGAAAACTATACATACTTCTTCAAAATAGAAAAGGGGAGTAGGGCTATTCAGGGAACCAATGACTCAAAAATTCCTATGGACATATACACCATGGAATACTATGCAGCCATAAAAAATGATGAGTTCATATCCTTTGTAGGGACATGGATGAAATTGGAAAACATCATTCTCAGTAAACTATCGCAAGAACAAAAAACCAAACACCGCATATTCTCACTCATAGGTGGGAATTGAACAATGAGATCACATGGACACAGGAAGGGGAATATCACACTCTGGGGACTGTGGTGGGGTCGGGGGAGGGGGGAGGGATAGCATTGGGAGATATACCTAATGCTAGATGACACATTAGTGGGTGCAGCGCACCAGCATGGCACATGTATACATATGTAACTAACCTGCACAATGTGCACATGTACCCTAAAACTTAGAGTATAATAAAAAAAAAAAAAGAATAAAAAAAAAAAAAATTCCTATGGAAAATAAGTGTGCTTAATTTTATTTTTTAAATGTATTTTTAGTCCCAGTATGAGCAAGGCTCTACAATAGATTCTGCAGAATAAAAAAGTAGAAAACAAGTGGGCCCTCTTGTTGAAGAGTTCATTGCCTAGTACAAGGTGTGAAGATGCCTGGAAGAGGGAGGAACCAGCTCTACCTAGAAGTTAGAAAACTTTTCCTAGCTAAGGGTGTGAGATAAGAAGACAAGTTTTAAGTAGAAGGGTTTCCAGGCTGAGAGTCTAACATAGGCAAGACATGGAGTCATGTTCTAGGCAGGCTGATTATATATTCCTGATTAACCTGCAATATAAGAAGTCATTGAGAAAATGATTGAAAATATAACAGGCCAGAAATGCAGGTGAGAGTCAGGTAATTAAAAACTTTGATGTCCTGGTAAGAAATTTGTACTTAAACCTACACTAGTTGCAATCCACTTATGCAGGGAAATGGAATATGTTCAGCATCATGGTTTAAAAAAGGTTACTCTGATATCAGTGAAAAGTGAGACAGCCTATTGTAATGTTGAAAAGCTCATGCTTTAGAGAGAGGCAGATCTGGATCCAAATCATAGCCTTAATTTAAACCTTTAAGCCCTAAGCAGCCTTCAGTTTTTTCATACTTAAAAGTTGGATAATAGTATCTATGCTTGGAGTACGGGGGGTAAGGGAGACGGTATGAATGTTAAGAGACTAATGAGACAGAAAGTTAACAAGGATATCCAGGAATTGAACTCAGCTCTGAACCAAGCAGACCTAATAGACATCTACAGAACTCTCCACCCAAATCAACAGAATATACATTCTTCTCAGCACCACATCGCACTTATTCCAAAATTGACCACATAGTTGGAAGTAAAACATTCCTCAGCAAATGTAAAAGAACAGAAATTATAACAAACTGTCTCTCAGACCACAGTGCAATCAAACTAGAACTCAGGATTAAGAAACTCACTCAAAACTGCTCAACTACATGGAAACTGAAAAACCTGCTCCTGAATGACTACTGGGTACATAACAAAATGAAGGCAGAAATAAAGATGTTCTTTGAAACCAATGAGAACAAAGACACAACATACTAGAATCTCTGGGACATATTTAAAGAAGTGTGTAGAGGGAAATGTATAGCACTAAATGCCCACAAGAGAAAGCAGGAAAGATCTAAAATTGACACCCTAACATCACAGTTAAAAGAACTAGAGAAGCAAGAGTAAACACATTCAAAAGCTAGCAGAAGGCAAGAAATAACTAAGAGCAGAACGGAAGGAGATAGAGACACAAAAAAACCCTTCAAAAAATCAATGAATCCAGGAGCTGGTTTTTTGAAAAGATCAACAAAATTGATAGACCACTAGCAAGACTAATAAAGAAGAAGAGAGAGAAGAATCAAATAGACGCAATAAAAAATGATAAAGGGGACATCACCACCAATCCCGCAGAAATACAAACTACCATCAGAGAATACTATAAACACCTCTATGCAAATAAACTAGAAAATCTAGAAGAAATGGATAAATTCCTGGAAACGTACACCCTCCCAAGACTAAACCAGGAAGAAGTTGAATCCCTGGATAGACCTACAAAAGGCTCTGAAATTGGGGCAATAATTAATAGCCTACCAACCAAAAAAAGTCCAGGACCAGACGGATTCACAGCTGAATTCTACCAGAGGTACAAGGAGGAGCTGGTACCATTCCTTCTGAAACTATTCCAATCAATAGAAGGAGAGGGAATCCTCCCGGACTCATTTTATGAGGCCAGCATCATCCTGATACCAAAGCCTGGCAGAGACACAACAAAAAAAGAGAATTTTAGACCAATATCCCTGATGAACATCGATGCAAAATCCTCAATAAAATACTGGCAAACCAAATCCAGCAGCACATCAAAAAGCTTATCCACCATGATCAAGTGGGCTTCATTCCTGGGATGCAAGGCTGGGTCAACATACGCAAATCAATAAACATAATCCAGCATATAAATAGAACCAAAGACAAAAACCACATGATTATCTCAATAGATGCAGAAAAGGCCTTTGACAAAATTCAAAAAGGCTTCATGCTAAAAACTCTCAATAAATTAGGTATTAATGGGACGTAATTCGAAATAGTAAGAGCTATTTATGACAAACCCACAGCCAATATCATACTGAATGGGCAAAAACTGGAAGCAATCCCGGTGAAAACTGGCACAAGACAGGGATGCCCTCTCTCACCACTCCTATTCTACATAGTGTTGGAAGTTCTGGCCAGGACAATCAGGCAGGAGAAAGACATAAAGGGTATTCAATTAGGAAAAGAGGAAGTCAAATTGTCCCTGTTTGCAGATGACATGACTGTATATTTAGAAAACCGCATTGTCTCAGCCCAAAATCTCCTTAAGCTGATAAGCAACTTCAGCAAAGTCTCAGGATACAAAATCAATGTGCAAAAATCACAAGTATTTTTATACACCAATAACAAACTGATAGCCAAAGCATAAGTGAACACCCATTCACAATTGCTTCAAAGAGAATAAAATACCTAGGAATCCAACTTACAAGGGATGTGAAGGACCTCTTCAAGGAGAACTACAAACCACTGCTCAATGAAATAAAAGAAGCCACAAACAAATGGAAGAACATTCCATGCTCATGGATAGGAAGAATCAATATCATGAAAATGGCCATACTGCCCAAGGTAATTTGTAGGTTCAATGCCATCCCCTTTCAAGCTACCAATGACTTTCTTCACAGAATTGGAAAAAACTACTTTAAAGTTCATATGGAACCAAAAAAGAGCCCACATTGCCAAGTCAATCCTAAGCCAAAAGAACAAAGCTGGAGGCATCACACTACCTGACTTCAAACTATACTACAAGGCTACAGTAACCAAAACAGCATGGTACTGGTACCAAAACAGAGATATAGACCAATGGAACAGAACAGAGCCCTCAGAAATAATACCACACATCTACAACCATCTGATCTTTGACAAACCTGACAAAAACAAGAAATGGGGAAAGGATTCCCTATTTAATAAATGGTGCTGGGAAAACTGGCTAGCCATATGTAGAAAGCTGAAACTGGATCCCTTCCTTACACCTTATACAAAAATTAATTCAAGGTGGATTAAAGACTTACATGTTAGACCTAAAACCACAAAAACCCTAGAAGAAAACCTAGGCAATACCATTCAGGACATAGGAATGGGCAAGGACTTCATGCCTAAAACACCAAAAGCAATGGCAACAAAAGCCAAAATTTACAAATAGGATCTAATTAAACTAAAGAGCTTCTGCACAGCAAAAGAAACTACCATCAGAGCAAACAGGCAACCTACAGAATGGGAGAAAATTTTTGCAATCTACTCATCTGACAAAGGGCTAATATCCAGAATCTACAAAGAACTCAAACAAATTTACAAGAAAAAAACAAACAACCCCATCAAAAAGTGGGTGAAGGCTATGAATAGACACTTCTCAAAAGAAGACATTTATGCAGCCAACAGACATATGAAAAAATGCTCATCATCACTGGCCATCAGAGAAATGCAAATCAAAACCACAATAAGATACCATCTCACACCAGTTAGAATGGCGATCATTAAAAAGTCAGGAAACAAGAGGTGCTGGAGAGGATGTGGAGAAATAGGAACACTTTTACACTGTTGGTGGGACTGTAAACTAGTTCAACCATTGTGGAAGACAGTGTGGCGATTCCTCAAGGATCTAGAACTAGAAATACCATTTGACCCATCCATCCCATTACTGGGTATATACCCAAAGGATTATAAATCATACTGCTATAAAGGCACATGCACATGTATGTTTATTCACAATAGCAAAGACTTGGAACCAACCCAAATGTCCATCAATGATAGACTGGATTAAGAAAATGTGGCACATATACACCATGGAATACTATGCAGCCATAAAAAAGGATGAGTTCATGTCCTTTGTAGGAACATGGATGAAGCTGGAAACCATCATTCTGAGCAAACTATCGCAAGAACAAAAAACAAAACACTGCATGTTCTCACTCATAGGTGGGAATTGAACAATAAGAACACTTAGACACAGGAAGGGGAACATCACACACTGGGATCTGTAGTTGAGTCAGAGGAGGGGGGAGGGAGAGTATTAGGAGAAATATCTAATATAAATGACGAGTTAATGGGTGCAGCACACGAACATGGTACATTTATACATATGTAACAAACCTGCACGTGGTGCACATGTACCCTAGAACTTAAAGTATAATAATAATAATAATAATAAGAGACTAATGAAAGGACTCAGGAATCAGAAATGGAGAAAGGGTAAACCTATCCAAGAAACTCAAAAGAAAATAAAATCCAGGACTTTCTGAGTGGTATGAGGTGGAAAAGCTGGGGAAAATGGAAGATGAAACTGAGCTTTCTGTTGTTGGGGATGGAGAAAGATGGTGTATCATTCTCTTGGCCACAGAGACTGGTAGCATTTGGAATCAGAAAGGTTAATGGAAGAGAAATTAGAACTTTCAAACCAAAATTTAACTATAAAATGTGACTATGTCTCTGGGAGAGGAGACATGTATTTCAGAGACATCATGTCTGCATTCTATATTCCACGTTCTTCCTCAAACATAAATATAGAGAAAAAAATGAAAGATGTAAAAAATCACATACAGAGATAATAAATGTGCATTTTAAAACACAGTGAATTGATGCTTGAAGGATTATGATAACTAAAAATGATTTATAAAGAAATTCAAAAATCTTATTTACTTTTCAGTATACTATTAATAATGCAATATTTCTCCATGCTTGATTTCACTGATATTTTTGACTTCTTTAAGATTCTGGAAAACATAAAACACGGTTATGAGTAATTATGTTTTTCAATTTGCTTATCTGTACACACAAATAATGGTTCTTTCAAGGATCTATAAACAATCTAGTCTCAAGTACAAATGGGTTTAAATGTAACATGTTAATTTGCTAAAATTCTACATTTCCCAAGAAAATAACAGTTTTAGCATTTTTACCAAGTGGCTTTTTTATTTTTTTCACTGCACTTAAGAAGTCAGCCCTGTGCAATTTAATCTTTCAAAGAATCCTTCTGCTGATAAACTACAGAGAGTACATGTGGCTGATTTGACCCAAATCTTTCAGTTAATAAATATGAGACAGAATCTTATAAAAGGAAATGCAATCAGGATTTTCACAGAAGATTTTTCCTGAAGGATAAAAATAATAATGGTGTTTGACTCACTTTTATACCTGGGAGCAGAAGATGTCCTTGCCAAATATCTTTTTGGAAGAGCTCTAGTTGGACAGACACTTCCAAAAGATAAGCAAAGCATGAAAGATATGAACATCGGACAAAACGAAAGGAAATGAAAGCATTTCCTAAAGCATTTAAAATGATGACATAAAAAAGTTTGTTTATATTTATCAAACATAAGTTGGGTGACTTTTTAAAAATGGAAAGATGAACTTCAGGATATTTATTACCAAGCTGGTCCAGACAGCTTGCATTCATTCATTTACTCGTTCATTCATTCATTTATTGTTTTAGTTACTACTTACGAGGTGAGTCTAAAATAAGGACAAGGCACCATAATATTTTCGAGCAAATATTCTCTAGTTTACTGTATGCATTATTTGGCCTACTAAAATTAGCTTGCAATAACTCATCCAAACACAGCCTTACTAGCTCCATGATTGTTTAGTGGAACATGGGAGTATGATGTAAAATGGGCTATATCCTTGTTATCTCATGAGCACCACTCTGGCACAGGCTTCTACCAGCAAGGGTATCCCAGTAGCAGCAGACAGGCATGAAGTTTTTCATGATGTGCATCTGACAGTGATACCATGTGATATTGATAAGCAATGGCATTGGCATCTGGAATCTGTCTCACTGGGTTTGGCAGAAGGACCTAGAGACAGTATTAGATTTTTTTCCCAAAAGAGAAAATGGGGTTTTCCAATGATTAATTGAAAAAAAAAATATATATATACAATGAAACAAAACAGGAGTGACCAGGTACACATCCTATGTTGGCAGAACAGGTGAAAGTGGTTTGGTGTATTTCAATTTTACCAAAATGGGAACAGGCTGACTATATTATTTTCTATTTTTTTTTCTACTTAATACATCATGAGCATCTTCCCATGTCTGTGTCTATTATGGTGTGCTCATTTTTAAGGGCAAGGAACTTCTTTTTGGTCCAAGCTTCTTTTTCTTCTAAAGTTCAATATTATGCTGCCATTCCACCAAGGCTTTATGGAAGATAATTTCCGTTAATTTGACAGGTCATTGTCTTGTCAGTTTCAGATAATTAAGGATAAGCCATTAGTTCCTGTACCTATTGTGTAATCTCTTTTGTCTCATCAGGTTTGTGAATTTTGCAGTGCTTGCCAATCTACAGTTAGCTTAATTAAAATCAATGGAGTTGAAAGTTGGTGTGTTCTCTTTCTCTTTCTCTAAAGGATTCCATTTTCCAAAACACCATAAGCAAATAAATTGGCATGTGGAACTTTCTGCAGCCATATAATAGTCAAACACACTTAACCGTGTATATTTAGCTCCCAGCAAAATTGTCTAATTTTGCATTTGCTAGCTAGCCAGTAAACTCCAGGTTTCTTGCATCAGAGGGGGATGCTAACCCACAGATTTTACAGTTCAGAAGTATTATTAGTAAATACCCTCAACAAAAGGCTCAGAAAGTGAAATCAGTTCCAATGCTATCATCTTTCCTCAAGCTGAGCTACAGTGTTCAATTCTCCAAATGTGAGGTAGCTGGCAAAGACGTTGCTGTTGTTTTCTGGATTTAAGCTGGGAAGATAGTAACTGGAGCCTAGGAGAAGAATTTTCAACTAATGAAGTGTTGTTAATATAAGACTTTCAAAAATACTAATCACAACATTTCTGTAATTTGCAACTAGCATCAATTGATATATCTTTGATTTTCTCTATAAAAACAAAGACTGAACTGGCCAGATTAGCAACTCAGAGTTATGCTGATCTTCCAGGCTGGAGGCCTCGCCCAAGATAACATCATGAACATTTTATACCTCCTACAGAATAACAGTATACTTACAATCTGCCAGACTCTATGACTGAAATGCAGAAACAATAAAACAATAATTAGTAACTCTGATTTTGCCACACGCCTGGGCAGCTCAAATTTCTTGACGGTTATGACCCTAAACATCTGCTTGAACTAATATATACTTTGTTATGCAAATCTATTTAAAACATATTTCAATAAACATGCATAGTGAAATATATTATTGTCTGTGGTAAAAGGGAAATCCCAATATATTAATGATGTAATGAACTGTAAAAATAATCAATATTGGTTTTTCTGCATGTTGACCAATGTATGAACCTATGTTTTATCTTCATTCTCATTCTTTCAGAATAAAAAGCAACATCTATTTAGTACATGCAAATAACTTGTGGGAGTTTTCAAGAATATACAAATCAAATTAATTTAGAAGCATATCAGACACCCTACCTATGCAAATGGTATTATTTTGTTAATCTAGTTCTAAACTATATGTTTAACATCATTATACTTCAGGATTATTTTGAATCCTTTTATTTATCAATAATAAAACTTTCTAAGATTTTAAATATAAAATACAAAGCTACCATCTTGAAGTTGTATTTCCTTTATTACATGATAATTAGTTGCATAATTAAAACATGTGTGGTCAAAGGTCAGATATTACAATCCAAGGGATATCACAAAGGATATTGTATTTTTTGCCCCAAATACGTATATTAACAGCAATGGCTGTTACACAGAACATTAAACTAAGAGTCAAATGGAAACTGGAATAACATTTGTTGCAAATAATAGGTATAGTGAAATTTCAAGATGATTCTGAAAATATTTTATTTATCTGAACTTATGATAACATATCTGAGTGAATAACTGAGAGTGCATTCAAGGAAGTAAATAGCTCTATTAAAACAGTCACCTGATGATGAAGACTCAACAAATGAAGACAGTGATATCCATGGATGCCTTTCAGACACTGTGTTATTCTTTGGTGGTGACTCCATTATTCTTTATGAATAATACAATTAGTGCAATTTTGAGTCTTTCCATCCTTGCCAATTATCCTAACACTGGAAAATTTTCTGTTTAACACAAAAATACTAAGAACTCATTTGAGAGTATCTTCACTGAGTGGTTTATCAAGCACTGGAATAGCTCCAGACTTAGGAGTTAAATACTTCCCAAGAGAATTCAGTCCACTCTAATATCACTTCGGTGTTAGAAAAAATACCCTTGCACTGACTTGAAAATTATATCCATAGATCTTTTATCCATGACACCTGGGGTCACAAAGAAAAAATATTTTTCTTATTCTTAATTGATATACAAATAGAAGTGTGCTCAAAATAGTAGCAACAATGTATTTCATTACATATGCTTTTATATATAATATATATATAAATTTCATATATATTACATATATACATTTTATTACACATGTGATTATGTAATAAAATATATTGATGCTACTATTATGTTATTTTATGAGTGCTTATATATAAGCACTTATATATGCTTATATATTAGTGAATGATAGCAATGATAAAAGTGACAAGGAGGGAAGAATTATGATTATTTTATTATTTTAAGGTACTCACACACTACCTGTGAAGTGGTATAATGTTGTTTGAACATGGATTTTAATTAGTTATAAATGTATCTTGGAAACTCTAGTGCAACCACTGAGAAATGTAAAAAAGAAGCATAACTGATAGGCTAATAATAAGGGAGAGAAAATGGAATCATACTAAATGCTCAATTAAAGCCATGAAAGGCAGTAAAATAGTGGAAGACAAACTAAGAACAAAGAAAAAGGGAAACAAATATAAAACTAACAAATATGATAGGTATTAATTCAACTAAATCATTAGTTACTTTAACCATCAATGTTCTAAATATATCAGTTAAAAGGCAAAGATTGTAGAAATGGATTTAAAAAAACCTTCCCAATTGTATGTTGCCTACAAGAAACATGCATTAACTATAAGAGCACATACTGAAAGATATACTATGCTGATGCTAATTTTTAAAATGGGAACAGCTATATTAATTTTAAACAGACTAGACTTCAGAGCAAAGAAAGTTATCAGGGCTAAAGATGGGTATTACATAATGATAAAGGGGTCAGTTCCTTATAAAGACATGACAATCCTTAATGTATAGATGCCTAACAATGGAGCATCAAAAAACATGAGGCAACATCTAAGAGAACTGCAAGGAGAAAAACATGAGTCCACTATCATAGTTGGTGACTTCAACACCCCTCTATCAAAAATGGACATATCAAGCAGACAGAAAAAAGAGTAAACACAGCACCATCAATTAACTGGATATAATTGACATCTACTGACTGTCTTATGATTAAAGAACACACTATTAAAGAACACGTGGATGAAAGAAGAAATCTTAACAACAACAAAATAAGTATTTTGAACTAAATGAAAATGAAAATACAACTTACAAAGTTTGTGGGATGTGTCGAAAGCAGTGCTTAGAGAGAAATTTATAGCGTTGAATACATGTATTAGAAAAGAAATATTTAAAATTAATCACCTTATCTATAACAAACTCACAGCCAACATTATACTTAATGGGGAAAAGTTGAAAGCATTCCCCGTGAGAACTGGAATAAGACAAAGATGCCCACTTTCACCACTTGTATTCAGCATAGTACTGGAAGTCCTAGCCAGAGCAATCAGACAAAAGAAAAATAAAGGGCATCCAAATCAGTAAAAAGGAAGTCAAAGTGTTCTTGTTTGCTGATGATATGATCTTATACCTAGAAAACCTTAAAGACTCATCCAAAATGCTTCTAAAACTGGTAAATGAATTCAGTAAAGTTTCAGGATACAAAATTAATGTATGCAAATCAGTAGCGCTGATATACACCAACAGCAACCAAGCTGAGAATCAAATCAAGAACTCAACCCCTTTAACAATAGCTGCAAAATGCCACAAAAATATAACAACAAAAAAATTTAGTAATATACTTAACCAAGAAGGTGATAGACCTCTATAAGGAAAACTGCAAAACACTGCTGACAGAAATCATAGACAACACAAACAAATGGAAATACATACCACGCTCATGGATGGGTAGAATCAATATTGTGAAAATGACCATACTGCCAAAAGCAATCCACAAATTTAATGCAATTCCCATCAAAATACCACCATCATTCTTCACAGAATTAGAAAAAACAATCCTAAAATTCATATGGAACCAAAAAAAGCCCACAGGGCCAAAGCAAGACTAAGGAAAAAGAACAAATCTGGAGACATTACATTACCTAATTTCAAACTATACTATCAGGCCATAGTCACCAAAATGGCATGGTACTGGTATAAAAACAGGCATATAGACCAATGGAACAGAACAGAGAACCCAGAAATAAACCCAAATACTTACAGTCAACTGATCTTTGACAAAGCAAACAAAAACATAAAATAGGGAAAGGAACCCTATTCAACAAATGGTTGCCGGGATAATTGGCAAGCCACATGCAGAAGAATGAAACTGAATCCTCACCTCTCACCTTATAAAAAAATCAAATTAAGATGGATCAAAGATTTAAATCTAAGACTTGAAACCATAAAAATTCTAGAAGATAACATTGGAAAAACCCTTCTAGACATTGACTTAAGAAAACACTTCATGACCAAGAACCCAAAAGCAAACACAACAAAAACAAAGATGAATAGATGGGAATTGATTAAACTAAAAAGCTTCTGCACAGCAGAAGAAATGATCAGCAGAGTAAACAGGCAACCCACAGAGTGGGAGAAAATATTCACAACCTGTGCAACAGTCAAAGGACTAATATTCAGAATCTACAAGGCACTCAAGCAAATCAGCAAGAAAAAAACCAAACGACTGCATCAAAAAGTGGGCTAAGGACATGAATAGATAATTCTCAAAAGAAGATATACAAATGGTCAACAAACACATGAAAAATGCTCAACATCACCGATTATCAGGGAAATGCAAATCAGAATCACAATGCGATACCACCTCACTTCTGCAAGAATTGTCGTTATCAAAAAATCAAAAAAATAGATATTGGCATGGATCTGATGAAAAGGGAACACTTTTACATTGTTAGTGGGGATGTAAACTAGTACAACCACTGTGGGAAACTGTGTGGAGATTCCTTAAAGAATTGAAAGTAGATCTATCATTTGATTCAGCAATCCTACTCCTGGGTAACTACCCATAGGTAAATAAGTCATTATTCAAAAAAGATACTTGTACACACATGTTTATAGCAGCACAATTCACAATTGCAAACATATGGAACCAGCCCAAATGCCATCAATCAACAGTGGATAAAGAAAATGTGATATAGATATATGTGTGTATATATATAAAATATATATATATATATAATATATATATATATATATAAAATGAAATACTACTCAGCCATACAAAGGAACAAAATAATGACATTTGAGCAACCTTGGAATTGGATACCATTATTCTAAGTGAAGCAACTCAGGAATGGAAAACCAAACATCATATGTTCTTACTCATAAGTGGGAGCTAAGCTATGATGATGCAAAGGCATAAGAATGATATAATAGACTTTGGGGATTTTGGGGGAAAGGGTGGGAGGAGGTTGAGGGATAAAACACTACATAGATATTGGGTACAGTGTACGCTGCTTGGGTGATCGGTTCACCAAAATCTCAGAAATCGCAAATAAAGAATTTATTCATGTAGCCAAACACCACCTGTTTCCCAAAAACTTATTAAATTTAAAAAAAATTAATCACCTTAGAAAAGTAGAACAAAAGCAAATTAAATCCAAAGTAAGCATAGGAAAATAAATTAAAATTAGAGTAGAAATAAATGAAATAAAAATGGGAAATCAATAGAGAAATCAACAAAACCAGAAGATGATTTTTTGAAAAGTTCAATTAAAAAAAAGCCTCTGGCCAGGTTAACTACGAAATCAGCTATTCAACATTATTCACACAAACGAAAATAACTTAAAATGGTATATTTAAAATATAACTGCGGTGTACAAAGGCATTGCAGTATACAAATATATTGCAGGTAAAAATCACAATATTTAAAATATTTACCAAAGCCTACTTGACTGTGTAGACACTGCCTCACTTCAGCAAGTTTTTTAAAATAATGACTATACTAAATTAACTGCCTGAATTCAAACCTATTCTTTTTCTTTAGATGAAATTTTTAATTCAAATTTCTGAAATCCAATAATGTCACCTAGGCCAATAATAGATCAATCATGGTGCCTGTCAGGTTCTTTCTGAGCCCTGTTAGCAGCTCATTTAAGTGTCATCCATTAATACACACTGCCTTGACACCTCCACTGTATTTTTTGTTAGATTAGTTTTCCCATGCATTGGGTCCATTATCAATCCTTAATAATGAGAAAAACATGAAATTTAAAATTTAAAATTATCTTTCAAATATTGGAAGAGGAAAGGATGGTTTTAATTCCCCAGGTCGTTAAATGAGTAATGAAGCAAGTTTTACATTCTAACCGTGAGACATATTAGCTGTTAATTTGAAAAGGAAACATTTAGTTTCCAGTCTTTGGGGACCTCACTGCAAACTTTTATTTACAAAGCTAGTTGCACGTGTCTATTATTGTGCATCGTTTTTGAGCTTTTGCATTATATTTTGCATCACCACAGTTAAGGGTAAAATAACAGGACTATGGCATCTGTGTTTAGATTTAGATAGACAAATGGGGAAATAGTGCAGAGAAAAGCCAACTAAAGAAATTTTAATTGTTCCTTGTATAAAGCCCCAGTTTACAGAAAGGTTGAACCAATTCATTTCTGCAGCTTACATATCTAAATCTGTGACCATGTAGCATATGAAACAAATAGGGTATCCCTATTAATCACTGAGTTGTCAATATGAACATAAAGATTGGTGTGAATTCAGTGTCCTGCACAAAAGTCTTCAGTTAAAACAGAAGAGATATTATGGTGATGGATTCCCCAGGATGTTCAACAAACAGAGAAGAGGCCAAAGCACGTTGTCTCAATCTTTCTTCTTGTTTTAGTCCATTCTCACACTGCTAAACGATACTACCCAAGACTGGATAATTTACAAAGAAAAGAGGTTTAATTGACTCACAGTTCCACATGGCTGGGGAGGCCTCAGGAAACTTACAATCATGGCAGAAGGAGAAAGCAAGCACATCTTACATGGTGGCAGGTGAGGGAACATGAGCAAAAGCAGGGAAAACTGCCTTATAAAGCCATCAGATCTCATGATAATTCACTCACTATCACGAGAACAGCATAGGGGAAACCACCTCTACGATCCAATCGTCTCCCATCAGATTCCTCCATCCACACGTGAGGAATACCGGTATTACAATTCAAGAGGAGGTTTGGGTGGGGACACAGCCAAAAAGTAACACTTTTTATTTATTACAATTTTATATCATCCCTAGAAAATTGTTCCAAATTCTTGCCCATCCTCCATCAATATCTAAAATTGCACTTGTAATTGAGAATACTTGCTAAGGTTTTACTTGTACTTGCATATAGAATGGACTCAAGATATGAACGCTGTTTGTCACGATTTCATAAATGAAGACAAAACAGGTATTAAATATTCACCCTGTTTTCTGGATGCTCAGTTTCATAATAAATGCCTGCCTTGGTTCATGCATCAGTACTGTTTCCACTTGGCTTCCTTGGACATCACTTTCTCTTAACTTTTCTCCTACCTCTCTGGCCCTTTTCTCTTGAACAGTCTTGATAATCCTACCTTATCTCCCTGCCCTCTTAAAATGTAAGTGCCTTAAGCTCTTGGTATTTCTCCTCCCCATTTGTGCTTTAGTAACTCAGTATTTTCTAGAGGCTGGCAGCATCCACATATATCTCCAGATAAGACCTCTGCTAGAAAAGCTACACTCATACATATTTACCCCTTTGCTTTCTCCATTTGGATGTTGAATAACCATGTAGAAAATAACAAGTCCAAAACTCAGGTCCTGATTTTTCACCTTCAAATCAGCATCTCTCATATTTTTCCAACTCAGTAAATGACAGCTACATTCTTCCACATGCTAAAAACTCTTGGAGACATTGTCATTCGACCCTTTGTCTTGTATTCTACATCTAGTTTATCAGGTAAAGCAGTTACCTGTACCTTCAAAATACAGTTAAACAAAATCCTACCCTTTTTCTTGGTCCTCCCTGCTATGATTCTGGTCCAACCCACTAAACTCTTTTGTCTGGATTATTAAAATAGTCTCCCTGATTCCTTTTTGCCACCCACAAAGCCAGAGAAATCCTGTTAAAACACAAGATTAATGCTGCATAATTCCTTTTCTCAAAATACTTTAAAGAGTGCTGATTTCAGTTACCTGGATATGTGTAAGACACAATTCCAAAACAGACTGGCTTAAAAAAATATGTATCACTCCGCTCAAGGTCCTGGGAACCAACTAGACTCAGCTGGGTTGTTTTGGTTTGGGATCTGTCATGTGATTGTAGTCAGATGGAGGTTGAGGCTGAGGTCATCTTTATGCCTTCCACAATCACAGGTTTTCATGACACAACTACGTGAAGGCTGGAACAATTGGGATTTATCTGGCATCTCCTGTCCTACTTGTGAGATTTTTCAATGTGGTTTCTCCAATTCAGTGGCCTCAAGGTAGCCATATTACTTACATGGTAGTTGGTTTTCTCTAGAGGGAGGATACAAAGAAAACGGTGGAAGTTGTATGCTTTTTTATTAACTAGCCTTAGAAGTTGCATAGCATCATTTCTACCATAGTACATGTGTAGAAGAAGTCATAAGTCCAGCCAAAATGAAGTCAAGATGTAGAGACACCTCTCAATGGGAAGAAATCTAAAGAATATGCCACAGTTTTTTAAAACTACCCTACACTTCATCTCAATTAAAGCAAAAGCCAAAATTTTCTCAATGGTCTGCAATGGGAAATTGTAGCAAATTTGACCACTGCTTGCTTTTTAAAATCAAGTTGGATTAGAACAGTCACATGTATTGGTTTACATACATTGATGGCTTTTGTATTATAATGCCAAAGTTGAGTAGTTGTGACAGAGATAATGTGGCCTGCAAAGCTGAACCTGTTTATAATCTGGCCCCTTAGAAGGCAAGTTTACTAACCCCTGGTCTGCAGTTTTGAACACACACACCCTGCTCCCCTATTTGCTCTGTGAATTCATCTCTCTAGTACTCTGTTCCTCACTGTATAGTTTAGCATATGTGCCACCTTGCTGTTCCCTCTGCCTAGCATGCTTTTCCTTCAGATATCCAGCTAGCTCATTTCTGCATCTCTTTCATGCATTTGCTCAAATTTCATCTTTTCAGTGAGTCTTTTTCTGAATGCTCAATTTAAAATTCACCCCTATTTCCTAAAACTCCTTCTCTGCCTTCTCTGAGTGATTTCCCCCAACTTATAATATTCTCATATGCTATTGATTTAACTTATTTATTTTATTTATAGTCTATTTTCCTCATTAAAATGCAAGCTCCATTACATCAGGGATTGTTGTTTGTTTTGTTCTCTGATGCATCCCAGAGCCTACAACAGTGCTGACATGTAATAGGTCCTCAATAAACATTTGTTGAATGGACAGAGGCATGCATGCAGTGACTAATGAAATAACACAAAATAAATATGTAAAATTCATAGGCAATATTATAAAATGAAATGTGTTGGCTGCTTGGGGTTATATAAGTGGAACATAGAAGTCAATTAAAGCTTTAAGTAAGAGGGAAGATCCTGATGTTAGTATTGACTCCCTTTTCCCCACGATGAATGATGTTCTGAAGATCTTGATGCTAACATTAGTTTAAGCTCATTCAATACTGTCATAGGAGAGAGAAAATCATTTGAGATCTTTGATATTAATATTCCAATCCCTCACCTCTGTCTGTTTGAACTCATCAATCACTTTGGGAATAAAACTGGAATAGTGTACAAATTCATGTTGAGGTGAGGGGTTTTAATATAGAAGATATTTTCTTCTTTCCCTTGATGTCTCAGAATAAAATGATGAAACCAGAAGGAGAGAGAAACTTTGATTTTTGTATTTCAAATTTCTATTATTTATTATTTAAGAGTATATGATTTGGAGTCAGGATAAAATTGAGTCCTCACCTCAACTCTGTAATTTCACAGCTATTTGTTCTTAGAAAAATTCCTCAATGTTTCAGATCCTCAAGTTCTTTCTCGTTGAGAAAATGAAGACGGTAATATCCATCTCATGCAATTTTAGGAAAATTAAATAAAGTTAGATATTTTGAAAAATGTACTAAATTTAGAATAGTACCTGGTACACATCTTCTCAGTAATGATAAACAGAATATTTTCCCACATCTATTTTCAATAATAATGACCATAATAGACAGAAATTTTTCATTTACTTGCAGTGACCTTAAAAAACTAAATTCAACATAATGCCACCTCTAGAAAGAAGTCCATTAATAGTGGACAAATGTCTACAAAATATAACTTACATAAAAAGAAGTAAGAGATAATAAAACAAATGGGGTGAAACACCAAGACAGTTAAAAGTATTTGTCTTTATGACTTGCCCATTTGAGCAGAAATTCTTTTCTGGATGTCAGAATGTAAGGAAAGTTTAGATGAAAAATTTCAGTGGTTCAATTAGTTATAGATTCAGAGTTTTTGTTTATTTGTTTTGTGCTCAGTTGGTTCTTGTGTTTGTAGACATCTCTCACATTACAAAAATAATAACAGAGAGAAAAGACTATGTTCTTCAAAACAAAAAGCTACTCAGTAGTGACTAGCACAGAAACCAAATCTCATGGATTATTTAAATTCAATCAAATGTTGTTTATTGATATCACTTATGTGCCAGATATTATGGGAAGCATTGAAGATAAAATAGTACATAAAATACACTTCTGTCTTTCTTAAAGTTCAATGATTTGTTGCCTAACTTTGAGAAATACTACCCTTCACCACAGAATAACAATTCACATCAGCATAACTAGGTCTTGGAGAAGTACTGCAATAAAGAAACTGTGTAACTTCCTTATCACTGAGTGTCTCAAACTTATTTGAGGAGAGTGCTTCTTTGTGTAACATCCACAACTAATATGCTATCTAACACATTCATGTCCAATTTCATCATATCCTATCTCCACTGATTAGAGATCCTTCAAGTAACCCTGAGGTTATGTGCTTTACGTATTTGGCTTCTGACTAAGCATTGATTTAGAGATCAGTTTTCTCAGCAAAACTGACTTTGAAAACCACAAGCAAGAACTATAACCTTTGATCTTCACAGGCATATGTTGAGGGAAACAAATGACTGGCATGAGGTTGTGCAGCTGGTGAATTTGAAACTCAACCATATGAGTAAAAACAATTTGAGTAAGACACAATGAATTTAGACTTCATTTATTCTCATTTTGAAATAATTTGCAAAAGTGTTAGGCTAAGGATTTATATTTTCATTACCTATGAGGAAATAAAGCAAACAAATTTGGACCAAAACTACAAAAACTAAAGAATTCAAAGTATCATCAAGTGCTTTAAAAGTCACATTTTCAGTATTCTCATCATCACACAAACACTTAAATTGAAATGACAAATTATTCAGTATGGCTGGTCAGAAGAGAGATTTGACTCAGAGACATTTGTTACTAGTTGTTATCTGTTATTATAGGAATTGCCATAATGAGACAAGCTCACTCATCATGGATTTCTATTGGTAAGAAGAAAAATAAGGGATTTTTGTGAGAAGACAATGCTGTCCTTTTAATGTTAGCATCAAAAGGTCCAGGATGAAACTTAATTATTTTTATCTTTTCATACAACCATTTAGAGAGTTATCATGAATGAGCTGCCTTTTGAGGAGGGATCCCATTTTATAATCTAGTTAGCTTCTTTTCCCAAGAAATTGATTGACCTAAGTGCCATACTATTTTGAGATGATCAATTTGGATTGGAAATTTTTAGAAACATGTTATTTCTAATTTCTTGCTCCTTTCTCAGGTAGAAGCAGAATAGTAGCTCACTTGCATAATGCTTGGCACATGATTTGTGCTCAATAATGGAGAGTTGCCATTACCATTATTAATAAAAATGCATATAAAACATATAATAATATATTGTTATTATACACAAAGAGCGTACTAGATACCATGCCTCCGGATAGAAGTAGTATTTCTTTCTTAGCATCCAAACTTGTACATTGTACCTTTTTTTGCCTTATTACCTATAATACTTTTTAAATTTTGTGTGTTTACTTTTCTGTCTCACAGAATACCATAAGCATTCCTTGTGGATAAAAATGTTATCTTTTATCTCTGTATCCTTAACTATATTCTACAAATGTTTGCTGTAAGAATTAACAAAAACAAATAAATAAATTGTTAAACTACATTTGTTTTCTTTAAACATAGCATCTGTGTGAAGAAACTACTGAATTCAATATGCATAGTGTTTAAATGATGTTGCAACATGGCCAGCTTGGAGTCCTCATAGCGTGTCGAGTTCTGAATATTCACACATCTTACAGGGCATCTAGTTTTCCCCAGAGCAAGCACTCCAAGCAATAGGAAATGGGAGCAGACTCTGCTTAAAATATAAACTTTCAGCTGTCACCATGTCATTTCTACCACATTTTACTGATGAAGCAGTCACAGAGCTAACCCAGGTTCAAAGAGAGAAGCAATAAACCCCATCTTTTATGCAGAAAGTGAGAAAGACATTGCAGTCATCATTAATTACCCACAGACCATTTAATCTATGTCCTCATTAATGACATTTTCTCAGCTTGACATACTCTTGGCTTTGACAATTAACAAAAACAGAAGAAATAGAAGAAAAAAACCAATATGGTATGCAGTACTCATAATTACATTTTCATTTGTGTTGCTATCCTTGATTACTATACATATAAGAAATTATCTCTCAAGGAAATAAATGATCCTTGTATTGCTTCTGGAGATGAAAATCAATGAGTTTACCTTTTGCTACAAATATAGCCACTCTTTTTTTTTCTTGTAGACATTAAACACCAATTTGTGGAGACAGTTTTGCATATACAAAGGAATCTGAGCAGCATACCTGACTCAATATTAATAAATGAAGTTGAAATAGGACCTGTGATTGGTCTGTGATGACAGAAAGCAAATAGCTTTTCCTCCTGATACAACTAAAAGATTACTTTGCTAAGCATTTATTTCAAGGATTGGCAAAGAATGTGTTATAACACACGTCTGTAGGCATAATGGAAGAAATGCCTTGAGCGTCATTCAAAGGAAGGATAGAGAAAAAATATATATAGAATCAATGTATTTTAATGGTAACAGTCTTTTAATGTTTATTAAAAATAAAATGTTTTAATTTTAAAAAATCAATCTTTTAATTTTTTATTAAAATAGAAATTATAAGTCAAAAGTAGTGATGGACACATTATTTAGCAGAAAATTCTTCAGAGACCACAGGAAAATCCAGGTTGTTGGAGGGTTAATGTTGAGAAGTAAGAAAGGACAGAACAGTGAATACATCAATTTAACCGTAGGAAAAAAAATGTTTACTGCTGATGAATTAACTTGGAGGCCCTCTATCTAGAAGAGGGGCATTTTTTCCTTGCCTAATAAAAGGGAGTTTATAAAACTTATAGCATCATTGTAATTGAGAAATGTATTTTGAAAAATGGAACAGAATAATAGGTTTTTCATAGATTAAAATAAACCACAGTGTTTAAATATTACATGTATTTATGTAGTTTTAAAGACATGGAAAAAGTGCATAGCAAAATTAAAGTTGACATAGAAACTATACTTTACAGATCAAACTTAGACCAACTAGAATAGAAGGGCAAGGAGAGTCTGCAATGAGTTGATTAGCTCTGCTGCAGGAAATTGACCAACTGCAAGTGAACTACTGGGGGGATCGACGTTTTATGTGGATCTTTGTGAAGCACAAAACAAGATCAGCAAATCATAAAGAAACAAATAATGAAAGCTGACTTAGTTGGTTCAGGCTGCTATAACACATTACTGGGTGGCTTAAACAACAGAAATGTATTTCTTACAGTTCTGGAGGCTGAAAGTCTGAAAGCAGGGTGTCAGCCTGGTTAGGTTCTGATGATCACCTTCTTCCATGGCTTCCTCACATGGTGGAAAAAGATAAAGAGGAAGCACACTCTATCCTGTGTCTTCTTATAAGGGCACTAATACCACTAATGAGTGCTCCACTCTCATGACCTAATTACCTGTAAAGGATCTACCTCCAAATGACATCACATTGGGAATCAGGCTTTAACATATAAATGTTGGGGGCATACAAGCATTCAGTTCATAATGAAAGCAAAAGAAACATTGAAAGAAATCAGCATTTTCTTATTCTTCTATCGCTTAGCCTAAAAAGTAGGCTTGATTTTAAATACCAGAAAGCAACCAACTATTTATGCTTCAAAGTTATTTATAGTTTCAGGTACGTGTGTAGTCATGCATCACTTAATGACAGGGAAATGTTCTGAGAAATGAGTCCTTAGGTGATTTGTTGTGTCAACATCATAGAATGTACTTATGCTCTATGTATACCTGCATGATATAGCCTACTACACACCTAGGCTATGTGGTATAGAGCCTATTGCTCTTCACTTTTAAGCCTGTATAGCTTGTGATTGTTCCAAATGCTGCAGGCAATTGTAACACAACGGTAAGTATTTATGTATATAAACATGTCAAAATAAAAAATGTACAGCAGTAATATGATATTACATCCTTATGGAACCACCATGGTATATGCAGACCACTATTGAACTAAATTATTATATAATGAATGACTGTATGCATATTTATGTATTAACACACTAGCTATGCGTTTGTACAGATTGGCATTCAGTAAATTTTGTATGCTTTTTTCTGGGGTTTGGCAAACTATGGCCCTCAAATTAAATCAAACCCACCTCCGTATTCACAGCTAAAGTTTTATTGGAACAAAACCACATTCATTCGTTGATGTACTGTCTGGTTACTTTTATGTTACAATGGCAGAGTTAAGTGGTTATGGCAGAGAACATAATGTCCTCAAAGCCCAAAACATAGACTATCTGGCCCTTTACAGAAAGAGTTGATCAACTTTTGGTTTATTCCATAGAGCAAATATGGGACTCTCTACAAATCCCAATTAGCACCTATAACTACAATAATAGTAATAATTACAGTAGTAGTAATAATTGTTATCAGTTATTAAATGCATACTTTGTGCCAAAATTAGACTAAGCTGAAAGAGCAGGGTCCTATGATTTATAGCCTCATCCAAATCACATGAAATGAGGAAAGAATAGTTAGAAAATAGAATGCCTGTTGTTCAGAAGAAAAAAAGATCAATATCTACCATACTATTAATAAATACAAATGTTAGCCTGTCATGACTTGTTCTAATGAATGCCTAACCTCATTCAATATATGAAATTAAATTGGATAAAGTCTCATTAATACAAGAAGTGATTAGTATTTTTTCAGAGGCAAGCATTTGTTGATAATATGCTAAACTTAGTTTGATTCTAGGAGGGGAGCCTCTATGTTGTATTTCCTATTCTTTGTAACAATGAACTAAATAAACAAAACTCTATTTCAAATCAATAGTAATGCCAAATCAAACTGCGTAGTCTCCAGATTGGGATGCATACAAAAATGATCTGCTGTGGTAGAAATAATTTATTAAAAATTCTGTTTACATTTATCTTATCTCATCAATTTTAGTAGGTATTTTTACATTATATATTAGAAAAATTGTGTACATATAAATAAACAAATATAGTACTGAAGTTTACTTGCTCAAATATTATTACTTATAGAGATGTGCATCCAAAAATGTTTAGAAACTACTGACAAACTATAAGTAAATAACCTGTCAAAGAGTTCTCAGAATCCCTCTAAGATTGTAACTGAGTATGCCTGTAGCATAATCCTTATTAATTTTGCTAGAAAACTCAGTTATGTTCAAATATAAATAAATATACTTATGTTTAAATACAGATACATCAATAAATGCAATGACTGTCATTTCATTCCTTCGTAAAGCCTTTCATTCTCATCTCTTCCTTCTCTTTGCTGATCTTCAAATTCTGAAGCTTCTTTAATGGGATTCCTGTTAGCAGGTTCTCTCCTTTCTGTGTCCTCCATACACAAATGTCTGTGGTTTCTTGATAATTATATTCCATGAACATATTAATCATACCTTTGCTCCTAATTTTATATACAAGTTGGAATCCAGACTAAGCTTTTTTATTTAAAAAAATTACAATCTCAAATCAATAAATGCTTCTGCCATATTTTTCTCTTTCATTTAAGCATATTGCTATAATAACACTTACTGTTCTTTTCTCACTAATTTATCACTCTTCTTCTTCCTTTCTTTATTATCCATGTAAATTTTAACCTTTCTAAGATAAACTGATTTGTTTTTTTGCCGTGTAGTAAATGATCCTCCTACTTCTAGTCAAATTCTCCACAGCATCTATCAGAGTCTAGTTGTTACTAAACAATGGTTGCAGTTTTGTGCTGTGGTGACTTACCAGAAAGAACGATGATTCCTAGTGAAGTTCATCACTCCCAGTGCATGAGGTAAGAGTTACATTTCAGCAAATGTGGACCTAAAAACAAAAGGTGAACCACTTCATCAGATGCTTAATAATAAAATTCAATGCAATTTGCTCACAGATGTACTTTTTCAGCTAAACTGGGTCTCAGGATCCACATGTAGTTCCTCAGCGCTGTAGCGCAGCTCTGATTTGTGCACATATGTGCTCACGTTAACAACATCATACTTTGGAGGTACTTAACATAAAAGAGGAAATAGTTCTTTAGAAGATAAAACTCTCAGTGTAGGACATCTGATTTTTAATATTTTCTTTTCTTGTTAAGTCCTAAAACCATCAAATGATTGCAGTTCTCAATTTGCTTATAGTGAGGCTAGAAGATGATATGAGGTCTAAGCAATATTCTTAAAGGAAATTTGGACCTCTGCTACACATTACATCATGCTCACACATCACTTTAGGAAAAGTTAAAAGAGTTATAACAAAAATATTTTATACTTTGATAAACATAAATTTTCAGAACTGAATTATAACTATTGCATTCCAAATGAATTTTCTGTATACATTACTGATTTTAACACCAAGGTCATGGTCATTTTAATGAAAATAAGTAAATAAATAAACACTAGCAGAAAAATATGGTCAGAAAAAAGGAGAATAAAACCTGCATCTGAATTTCAGTTGATAATGGGCTATTTAATAACTACCAGTACACAGCTCTGCAGGGAAAAAGGCAATAATTCATGTTAGGTATATCCAGTAACTAATGATAATCAACATGCTTTAAGGAAAATGAAGATAATATTTCTTTATGGAAAAGAGGTAAACGAACTTCTTTATATAATATGTTTAAAATTCTCTTTTTAGTATTCAGATTTTAATGAACTGCAGATCACTGCAATTCTTCATGTTAAATCACATCTGGGATTGTTCCTTAATCAAGTAAATTGGGTTAAAATATTGCATTTTTATTGTTAGCTTAATAGCTTAAAGAGATATTAAACATTTAATTATTAACCTTGACATGAAAGAATTGGAGAGATTTCTTAGATGATTTAAGGATTTGAAAGTTCTCTCTTCTGAGTGAAGTTTATATGTTGGGATAAAGCAAATCTAATGAGCTGTCTTGAAATGGGCATCTGACTAATTGAAAGAGACTAATAATATAGCATACATATATATCCAATGTTACTTAAGGAAATCATTCATAGAAGAATAGATGTTTTATTTTAAAAATCAACTAATGGATGTTAAATATTAATAAACTCATCATAACTGAATAACAGATAGGTTAGCCTAGTAATTTACTCATTCAAAAAATATTTACTGTACATTCATGATGTGGAAAGCAGTATTCTAGGCACTAGCAAGACAGCAGGGAATTGGTTCTTATCAAACTTATATTCTACTAGAAATAGATGCATATGAATAGAGTTTTCAGAAGAGAAATTAAAGGTTGCAAGAAATATAAAGAATATAAAGAGTCACATATTAATAGGCAATATAGGCTATGGTATGCTGACAAATGTTTAATAACCAGCTCTCTAAAAGGAACAAAGCAAGCCGAGTTTTTGCCATTTTCTGTGATGAAAACATTCCCAACATGACTAATTTAAATATACTAATATGACATCACTCAATACATAGTTGGAAAGAGGTATACCATAAGCCCTAGTGAGCTGTTATAAGACAACATTGGCACACACACTATGACAAGATTACTTTAAGTTGGATACTCAGAAAAGGCCTCTCTGGGAAAGTGACACTTAAACTAAGATCTGAAAAACCAGAAAAAGTCGTGTGTGAAATCTTGAGGCATTACACCCTGAAGAGGGATAACAGCTAAAGTTCCCAAACCAGTGCAAGCCTGGATTGTTGGAAGAACAAGAAGGCCAATAAGTCTGGGGTGTACTACATAAAAGGAGGATATACAATGAGATTAGAAAAACAGTCAAAGCTTTTCATGCAGAACTTCATAATATAGAGTATGAAATTTGGCAAAGATGTCACTGGAAGGTTTGTGAATCATTTTAATTGTATTGATTAAAACTTTTGCATTTACTCTATGCTGTCTATAGTAAAGCAAAAAGCTATTACAGAAGGAGGAACAGACCTTGGCTTACTGATGATAAAAAGAATAGGAAAAAATCCTTAAAAACTAGGTTGAATAAGAGGTTAGAATTAGTAGGCATCTCAACATATTATTACAATTATGGCATCCAACTTAATACATAATTTGCTTTGCTTCATACAAATATATTTTTCTGCTTTTGTTTTCTATGGTCAATTACCACTGTCTGTCATGTTGTACTATTATCACTTTTAAAAAGTGATTCTATCATACAAAACCAACATAATCTAAAATGACTTCCTGAGATCATGACCCAAGAGCTTATATATAAAACAAATGTTTTTAAAACTGTGCCTATAATAGCACACAACAGCAAGTATTAGATTCCACAAACATAATATTTGGGAAATAAAATGTTATGGACTCCAAGAGAACTGTATATATTTCTAACTCTATTCAAAAATGTCCTGTAACTCTAGATAGAATTTCCCTGGGCTATAGAAAAGCACGGATGGTATTAGTGTTTATTAGATCCATGAAGCTTGCTTTAAAAAATATATTTGAAACACTGAAGTTCTGCTAATATGGCAAGAATATGGAGATCAGAAACAACAATGCAAAGTAGACATTCCTTGTGGGTGGAAGAAAATAAAAATATTTATATTAACCAAGTCTAAGTGCAACAGCTCAATTAATACAAAACATTAATTTATTTTGGGCTTGGTTGTAAAATTAGTTTTAGATTGAGCTTATAAAGTAATTAGGCTAATATTGTCTCCTCTGAGAGGAACCTGGAACAGTGCTATACCATCTGTCCAGTTCATTGTCTAAAGAAAGAAACTGATGCATAAACAGAAAAAAAAAACAATGGATTGTGATAATTTCTCAAAAAATGTATGATGAAGTGTTACAGCAGCAGAGTAGGAGCAGCACTTGAGATTTGAGAAGATCCTCAAAGAAGAGTTTAGCCCATGTATTGAAAGATAAGTGGGAATTTGTCAATGAGAGGTGAAAGAAGGCATTCTGTGCATATCTGTGATTTCCCAATGGCTAAGATATGAAGTACTTGCAAGAATGAAGAAGAGTGATGATTAGAGAGTTTAAAAACAACTTGGATTCATATTATATGTCTTGGTAAAAAATTGATTTTTATCTCTCTTGGTCTTGGGAATCAGTAGAAGCCTTTATTTTTTTCCCTTGAATAAGATTTTATTTTGAAATAGTTTAAGATAAACAAGTTTTTAAAATAGTACAGAGGTTCCCAAAGAAACTTGTAAGCAAAGAAGTTCATCCAAACCAAAAAATTGATATAGGTATGCTATTAACTAGACTACAGATCATACTGTGATTTCATCTACTTTTGAGTCATCTTTTCTTCCCTTAGTATATAGTTCTATAGATTCCATGACATATATAGATTAGTGTATCACTACAATCAAGATAGAGTACTGTTCTATCAACATAAAGAAATTTATCTTTTAATAGTCACAACCCTCCACTTCCTCATACCATAACCCCTAATAACCACTGATCTGTTCTCCATCCCTACATTTCATCATATTTAGGCTTTTAAATAAATAGAATCACACAGTAAGTAACCTTTTGAGATAGGCTTTTTTCCCACTTAGCCTCAATATATATTCAAGTTATTGTGTCTATTAATAGCTTATTCTTTTTCATTTCTGAGTAGTATTCTGTTGTAATGATGTACCACAGTTTGTTTATTCATTCATTCATTGAACGACAATTGAGTTTTTCCAGATTAGGGCTATTACAAATAAAGTTCCTATGCATTTTAGTGTTCTGGTTTTTCGTGAATGTAAGTTTCCATTTCTCTGAGATAAACACTAAAGATTGTGATTTATATGTCATGTGATAAAGATATGGTTAACTTTATAAAAGACTGCCAAACTGTTTTTCAGAATAAATGTATCAATTTACATTCTCACCACCAATGCAGGAGAGATCCAGTTGTTCCACATATTTACCAGCACTTGATATTGTCAGCATGGTTTTACTTTTCCCATTCTATTAAGTGTATAGTGGCATGTTATTGTAGCTTTACTTTGCTTTTCTCTAATAGCTAATGATATTGCATCAAAAACCTTTTAAACCTTTAAAAATGATATTATGATATAATGGGTAGGTAACTTTGGGAACTATGTAGAGAATTTAATGAGATGTCCAGGAATGAAAGACTAAGGAACAACTGAGAGTAGGGACACAAGTCAGGATGTTCAGCTATAGGCCAGAGAATAGATAAAGTTTGCCTGAAGTAAAGTATTGACAAAAGGCAAGGAGACCAGAGGAGAGGTTGGATTTGAGAAGCATTTGGAAGTCGATTCAAAAGGATTTAATGAACAGTTTATTGTGGGAATGAAAAAAGGAAGTTGTCCATGTCAATTCTTAGGTTTTAAGCTTCAAAAAAGTATGTAGATAATGGCTATAGTAATCAAAATTAAGAATAATAGAGGGAAATAGTTTGAAGAGAGGAAATGATAGATATTTTTGGCCATATTAAAACTGAGGTATCTACAGGACTTACCAAAATATCTAACTCAGTAGGAAAAATATTATTCAGAAAGGACATTTGGTTTATGAAGAATAAAGACCTATTGGATTAAGTGGAATGTTTTACTTAAAAGTAGTTTTCTACTCTTTTCAGGAATATTATTGGCAATTAATCTTTGACCTCTAAGCCAGTTCACATTAAAAATAAGACCACACCAAAAGACATTTTAGATTGAGAAACTAATGTGAACAATTCATGGGGAGAAAATTGAAATATGGCAATAGTCTATTGTACAGCTGTCTTGAAGGGGAATTTGAAGGCCATAACTGTCGAAGGATTTTCCTAACTTACAGAAGCCTGTGTACACTACCAGAAGAATTGATGTTTGCAATTCCACCCACTGTGTACTTTTTCATGATGAGAGAAATCATTCAGGACAACGCAGTTAGCAAACCATAACTCAAAATCGATAGACCCCCACCCCCCGCATTTTTGTTATTTCATGATAAGATAATGGCAATATATAAAATAAGCATAATACTAATAGTATATAAACCATAAAGTAAAATGTTTAACATATATTATTTTATTCAACCCTAAACATCCTCTATTATAACTTGGTGAGAAAAGCAGTAACATCTCCATGTTAAATATTAAAGAACCTTAAAACTAGAATAAATGCAAAGAACATGACACGCGGTATGGATGACCTTTTTTTCTGAAAATAGTTTAAATTCCTTTCCCCTATACCAGTATTAGACTGAGAAATGGAGTCTCTCCTGAGAACCATCTAAGTACTGGTATATCTGCTTGAATCACAAACACATGATTATAAGGCAAATGTAATCCATATCTATGTTGTTAAAAAAGATGAAAATCCATAAAGTACTGTGATCATATTTAGAGAATTTTCAATCAAATGATTCTGTCAATTCCTAAATATGCTGATAGCAACAAAGAAACAGATGTTTGGTTTTATTCCATTGCCAGTGATATGGGAAAAAAAAGCTATTAATAAGCATAAATTCTACTAAAGTTGAAAGACATGGAATATTCATATAAATGGAGTACATTTTACCACTTTTTATACTCAAGAAAATAACATGAAAAATAACTGTACAGGGTACTAGGCTTAATACCCGGATAGTGAAATAATCTGCACAACAAACTCCCATGACACAAATTTACCTCTGCAACGAACCTGCACATGCACCCCAAACTTAAAATAAAAATTAAAAAAGAAAAAAATAGTTATATAGTAAAGAAAAAGTAGTAAGTGTCAGCGGGAGACTTCAAAATTATGAACAAAGTAAAAGAGGAACGAGGGTAGGGTGTCAGATCTAAATAAAAGAAATACAAAAAATAATAAAGAAACAACAAAATTTGCCAAAAATATCCATACTAGAGAAACTACTTTTTTAATAATCATGAAAAAAGCATGATTATATAAATAAAAGAAAAAAGCAATGACTACTAAAATAGAATATAAAACAATAAAGAAAACCTGTAGTAAACTAAGAAATTGTTGAGAAAAATATTATTGGTATTTTCAAAAGGCAAAATTGAAGTGGCAGTATTAAAAAAGGGTTGTTGCACACTGTGTATATTTAAAAGGCAAATTAGAAAAATGGCTTAATTACCTATGTAGCTTATTCCTGCAGAAGAAACATACCTCAAAAATAGAATGAGTCAACTCATGGTTAATAAATACATCAGGAGAAACAGGACATTCCAGCAATGAAAGAACCATCATTAAGGAAACAATTGAGGACAAACATCCTGACTAATGAAAAGCCCAATTCTTTGATATCGCACACAGCTCAATTCAGGAATGATATTCCAAAAAATAATCAAAGTGCCTTTAGAACTATTACCCATGCTTTTACTTTCAGAAGGCATTTTGTAGTTACAAAAGAAAGAACAGAGATATTTGTAATTGTATCTATAAGGATGCAAACTGCCCTCTGCCCTAAAATCTTTAATGACAGTACCACTGCTGTAAATATATGTAAACATACTTTAGACACATGCAAGTTTTTTGAGGTTATATCAATAACAGGTTTCATATAACAAACTAAAAATAAGCAAAAAAAAATGGAAAAAGGGTATGTAACATGCATTTACTATAGTTGACATGCAAACTTAGAGTCCCTGCTTTAAAAAATCAACAATGAGGCTGGGCGCGGTGGCTCACTCCTATAATCCCAGCACTTTGGGAGGCCAAGGTAGGCAGATCACTTGAGGTCAGCAGTTCGAGACCAGCCTGTCCAATATGTTGAAACTGCATCTCCACTAAAAATACAAAAATTAGCCAGGCGTGGTGGCAGGGCCCTGTAGTCCCAGCTACTCGGGAGGCTGAGGCAGGAGAATCGCTTGAACCCAGGAGGCAGAGGTTGCAGTGAGCCGAGATCACACCACACGCCACTACACTCCAGCCTGGGTGACAGAGCGAGACTCCATCTCCAAAAAAAAAAAAAAAAAAAATCAACTATGAAGTTCAACAATTGCAAAATGTTTAATCAAAAGAGTTTATCAAGAGAATGAAAAAGAATGTAGCTATTAGAATTTATAAAGCTATAAACTATATCAGTATAGAAAAAGATATATTGGAAGAAATAAAACAGTCGGTACTTTTAATGTATTCATTTTTTTCTCCCAATGTATCAAATATTGAATAAAAACATATATGCACGAAATATGGTGCTATAATCAAATGGATACTCAATAAATACTATCAATATATTGCGGCTTGAGGTGATAAAAATATACAGACAGGTCAGTTTGGAACCATGCATAAAATTATTTATGAAAAATAGAAGCTCCATATTCATTTATTTAACAAAGATGTATAGACTATGTGCTTAACAAAATAAACACTGAAAGAAGCCATCTTCATGGAAATACAGGATTATATTGGAAAAAAAGTCACAATGCTTTCTTTCCTGATTTATTAAGGAAAATTACAAAGATTTTGGACTCAATAAAATATATTTACTTCGTTAAAAAAACACAAACCCATGCATACTAATAAGTAGAGAACCTCGGTTGCTGCTTCTGTTGATTACGGAGACTACTGGGATAAGGCAATCAAAACTAAGAAATAATTTGCCATTCTCTTGGAAGCCAGAGAAAAAGAAAAACACCAGAAACCTAGCCCTGGAATGTCATTGAATAGCTGTAGGATAGTGGCAAGGATGTCAGCATCTGTAACACTCGATTTTCTCTCCTGCAAAAATGAAACTATTAGTATTCCACCATATTGCAATTAATATCACTTGAGCTAATGTATACAAGCAGTATGAAATCCCACAGGATTCACATGTAAAATATTGGATTTTTTATATTTTAATATGTAAAATGTAAGTTGTTTCTTTTCTCTCTGATACGAAATGCAGTTTTCATTCCACAGTTTCACTCTCATACACTTAATAACTTTTGTTAACGTAACAATACAGTGTGAGAGTTCCTGGGGCTATGCCTGACCCAAAGCAGACACTTAGTAAAATGTCTGTGGAACCTAAATTTATTTTAAGATACAATTGGAATCTAAACTAAACGAGTTTTCAAATTCAGAATCAGGCATATTTGCTGCAAAGCATTATGGGTCTCATTTCCATTTCCAAATCCACCAAGTCCATCCTTTCATGCATCATGTTACTCAGGGATAAAGCACATCTAAGTGAAACAGAAGTTAAATCTGCTCTTTCATAACCCAGAGACATTAATTACAATGGAATAGCATGATAAACACCGTGAACGATATGGAGATTAATAGAAAAAATATGAAAAGAAAATGACAGTAGCTAGGAAGAAACAAAAAGGATGGGTGGAAATATGGGAGGTTGGCCTCCAAAGGGCAAGTAAAGTAGAACTAAAATAAAACCTGGTGATTTTGATCTGCATGTGTAATTAATATAGTTTCTGGTGGGGGGTGATGGGAGAAATGGGGATAAAGAAAAGCCCTGAGTAGCAACCTTCTTGCCTGAATTGTGAAGGCAACACGAATACACAGATCACATCTTGGGAAAAATAAATGTGACCCCTTAAAATTTGCACCATATTATTGAAATCTCTTTGACACAAGTAACCATAGAAGACACAGGTAACATATGGGTTGCTCTTTATGTAGGGCTTTAGCAGTCTATTCAGTCTTTTACCATGTGACTACTTTGTATGTGGAAAAATTGTTACATAAACAAAATAGAAGCATTTTCTCTTTGATACCAAGAGTAGAGCTAAGACCAATAAATCAATATTAAGGGAAAATTTTACCTTAGATATAAGAAAATAATTTTCTAACAGCTCAAATTATACTCAGTTGTTGTTATTAACTAACAACCCTTATGATATCTGCATACTAATACTTGTAAAATCAAGATTAATTTGATATTCATTTCTGGTAGGGGATGGGGTTATGTCATTTTCGTACAGTCTTGGAGAGAAAATAATTTGTTAAATGCAATTTGCTAGCATCTATTAGAAATCTTGTAAAGGTTATATATTTTTAATTTCACTTAATATTTCTGCTTTTATTTTTCTACACATGACCATAAATATATATCTTCATGTATGCATGATGAAGCATGGTGAGTAACAGATTTTTTAATGGAATAAGCTATTATGGTACTTTCATTCTATGAAATATTACGTAGTTCTCAATCAAAATGAGAGGGATAGCTGTATAAAACCTAAGCTATTGTTAACAGAAAAAAAGCATGTAAACAAAATTATTAAATTATGGTTTTAATAAAATCCATATATATGAATTTGGACACGTGTATACACAAGTAAAGTCAGAGAAAATGACAGAATATAATGTATGTTGAAATTATAGCAATGACTACCACTAAAAAAAAATCAGAATAGAATGGTAATTTAAAATAAATATAAGACAGCAGTGGGCAGGATGAGGACACATTTAAATCTACATAATACTGCATTGTGTAAGCTAAATTTTTCAAGACCTGCTTGTGTAATTATTTTTAAAAAGAAAAAAGGTTTGTTTCCTTGTGTTGAGAATTATTCAACATGGAAAGTGCTACAGAAGAGAGAGCTCATTGACTCCATTTGTTCTAATAAAACAAACAAACAAGCAACAAAAAACCCTATATATTTTATACAAGTAGAAACCCTATATATTTTATACAAGTAGAAATAACTAGCAATATATTTCTATAGGGAGAAATAAGCCAGCATATTTTCAACGTTCTTAAGATTTCATTTCTAAAGCAAATAAAACAAGGCAAAGCCAATATTGTAAAAAAAATTAATCCTAAGTCTACATGAACTTAGCTGGGTACCAGTTGAGATATTTGAAGTTTATCTACCCTGTAGTCCTCACATTTAAAATTTTTCTCAATAGTTGAATGTAAGTTATTTACTTCTGGATTGAACAATAAAATGTAAATGGAGGTTTCCAGGAAGATGAATTGAGTGTGCCATACTGCCTGCCTCTGTAGGCTCCACCTCTGGGGGCAGGGCACAGACAAACAAAAAGACAGCAGTAACCTCTGCAGACTTAAATGTCCCTGTCTGACAGCTTTGAGGAGAGCAGTGGTGTTCCCAGCACGCAGCTGGAGATCTGAGAACTGGCAGACTGCCTCCTCAAGTGGGTCCCTGACCCCTGACCCCCGAGCAGCCTAACTGGGAGTCACCCCCCAGTAGGGGCAGACTGACACCTCACACAGCGGGTACTACTCTGAAACAAAACTTGCAGAGGAACGATCAGACAGCAGCATTCGCGGTTCATGAAAATCCGCTGTTCTGCAGCCACTGCTGCTGGTACCCAGGCAAACAGCGTCTGGAGTGGACCTCTAGCAAACTCCAACAGACCTGCAGCTGAGGGTCCTGTCTGTTAGAAGGAAAACTAACAAACAGAAAGGACATCCACACCAAAAACCCATCTGTACATCACCATCATCAAAGACCAAAAGTAGATAAAACCACAAAGATGGGGAAAAAACAGAGCAGAAAAACTGGAAACTCTAAAAAGCAGAGCGCCTCTCCTCCTCCAAAGGAACGCAGCTCCTCACCAGCAACGGAACAAAGCTGGACAGAGAATGACTTCAACGAGTCGAGAGAAGAAGGCTTCAGATGATCAGACTACTCCAAGCTACAGGAGGAAATCCAAACCAAAGGCAAAGAAGTTGAAAACTTTGAAAAAAATTTAGACGAATGTATAACTAGAATAACCAATACAGAGAAGTGCTTTAAAGGAGCTGATGGAGCTGAAAGCCAAGGCTCAAGAACTACGTGAAGAATGCAGAAGCCTCAGGAGCCAATGCGATCAACTGGAAGAAAGGGTATCAGTGATGGAAGATGAAATGAATGAAATGAAGCGAGAAGGGAAGTTTAGAGAAAAAAGAATAAAAAGAAACAAACAAAGCCTCCAAGAAATATGGGACTATGTGAAAAGACCAAATCTACATCTGATTGGTGTACCTGAAAGTGACGGGAGAATGGAACCAAGTTGGAAAACACTCTGCAGGGTATTATCCAGGAGAACTTCCCCAATCTAGCAAGGCAGGCCAACATTCAGATTCAGGAAATACAGAGAACACCACAAAGATACTCCTCGAGAAGAGCAACTCCAAGACACGTAATTGTCAGATTCACCAAAGTTGAAATGAAGGAAAAAATGTTAAGGGCAACCAGAGAGAAAGGTCAGGTTACCCACAAAGGGAAGCCCATCAGACTAACAGCGGATCTCTCTGCAGAAACCCTACAAGCCAGAAGAGAGTGGGGGCCAATATTTAACATTCTTAAAGAAAAGAATTTTCAACCCAGAATTTCATATCCAGCCTAACTAAGCTTCATAAGTGAAGGAGAAATAAAATACTTTACAGACAAGCAAATGCTGAGAGATTTTATCACCACCAGGCCTGCCCTAAAAGTGCTCCTGAAGGAAGCACTAAACATGGAAAGGAACAACCGGTACCAGCCACTGCAAAATCATGCCAAATTGTAAAGACCATCGAGGCTAGGAAGAAACTGCATCAACTAACGAGCAAAATAACCAGCTAACATCATCATGACAGGATCAACTTCACACATAACAATATTAACTTTAAATGTAAATGGATTAAATGCTCCAACTAAAAGACACAGACTGGCAAATTGGATAGAGTTAAGACCCAACAGTGTGCTGTATTCAGGAAACTCATCTCACATGCAGAGACACACATAGGCTCAAAATGAAAGGATGGAGGAAGATCTACCAAGCAAATGGAAAACAAAAAAAGGCAGGGTTTGCAATCCTAGTCTCTGATAAAACAGACTTTAAACCAACAAAGATCAAAAGAGACAAAGAAGGCCATTACATAATGGTAAAGGGATCAATTCAACAAGAAGAGCTAACTATCCTAAATATATATGCACACAATACAGGAGCACCCAGATTCATAAAGCAAGTCCTGAGTGACCTACAAAGAGACTTAGACTCCCACACAATAATAATGGGAGACTTTAACACCCCACTGTCAACATTAGACAGATCAATGAGACAGAAAGTTAACAAGGATACCCAGGAATTGAACTCAGCTCTGCACCAAGTGGACCTAATAGACATCTGCAGAACTCTCCACCCCAAATCAACAGAATATACATTTTTTCAGCACCACACCACACCTATTCCAAAATTGAACACATAGTTGGAAGTAAAGCTCTCCTCAGCAATTGTCTATGTTTTTATGTAGTCTGTAATACTTTCCTCTTATAGACCAAACTTCAGGTTTTTTAGGAAAAGTTGGAGCTCTGTGCATTATGCCCCACCAGCTTCAGGTTCCGTTGTCAACCTACCCCATATGTATAAACCATCTGTTTGTCATGTTTTGGCTTTATCCAAACATCTTCACAAAGAGGCCATCTGTTCCCTTCTTTTAGATATCTATTTATGGCACTTTCTCTCTTATCTATTTTACAACATTTTTGCATATGTCAAAAATTCAATTACTAGTCACATATTAGTATGTCGTCTACTCAGGAGGAGTCTTAGTGATCCAAAGTGCATGGATAGTACCGAGAGACTGATAGATCTATCTAAAATGAAGGGTATGGACATTGCCATAAAAGCCTCACAATGCATGAAATGGATAATAGATGTGAGATTCCCTGGGGAGCTGTGTGCACGTGACTTCCAAAACGCTGTCATTTCACTATGTAGAAGGACAATATGAATTTACATGGAAATTTATTTCCACCATCAGTAATATATTCCTATTGCAAATGTACATTTTAGAGAAAGTATATTTTCAGTTGAAGTGAAAAAAAAGAGATGCACAAATAGATGTTTGAATGGCATTTGTATAATTCTGGGTCAAGTTTTTAGGACAAGCTTACCAAAGAAATTTTTAAGGTTAAATAAAAAGCAAACTTTTAGTGTATCAGGGTGTTTGCTAAAAGCAGAGCACTGTGACAAACATAAAAAGCAGAAACATTAAAAGCAGAAAACTCTTTATTTTCTCTGCTTCCCTGGGAGAAAAACACCAACAGAAGAATTCGGTAGATAAATGATGTTTCCAACTGTGTTGGGAACTTGGAGTTGTGAGATTACAATTGGGACCACAGATTCAGACACCATCATCACCAACTATTTTTGTTCACATTTAAAAATAAAAAGTCAAAAGAAATTTACTAAAATCTGTATATGTCTGGTTACATGTTTATATGGTTAAAATTTAATATATATACTTTTATATAACTGCATTATCTATCAATGTATTTATACATCTGTAACTTTTATCTACAAATATGTTTCCAAGTTCTATGGATAATAGATGAGCAAATCAATTACATATGAAGGTTATCTAATAAACATTATCAAATTTATTTAGACATCAACACTTGCAGGAAGATTTTGATATAATAAAATAAACAGACAGATAGATAGATAGATAGATAGATAGATAGATAGATAGATAGATAGATAAGGTAGATAGGCTAGATAGTTCAACACAAAATGTTAACATAAAATATGACAAAGGCATTGGAATAGAAATAAAGCAAATATGTTAAACATAACTGTAGCTTTGAGAAAGCATAAAGCAAGCCTGAATAAAAACTTCTACTATTCCAGATGAAGAGATAATTTTATGAAACATAAAAGGATATGTCTATTGCTTGGAAAGGATTGTAGTTTTTCTTAGCATTCATGTCTAAGTGAAATTTCTTACACAGATGTACACAGAAAAGCAATATTATTTTCTCCAATAAGAACACAGACTAGTGACTCTTGATTGATCATCCACAGTGCATTACACTAAGCCATTTTACAAATGGGCTCTCAAATTTTGACATTAGGGAAGTAAGTCAATTTGAGCCAAGAGTTTCAATAAAGCTATGCATGAACATGAATCTTGATATAGGTTAAGATTCTGGATCTAGAGCAGCCTTTGACCTCCATCTGCCTAGAACAGACATAATTTTCTTTTCATTCATTTTTGGTGAAAAATATAGGCTGGTGTGATTATTTCTGTGATGTAATTCAATAACTAAAATGTACACTCTTGTCTCAAAGTCCTCAACATCACCTTGTCCTAAACTCCTGGTCCAAGACCAATCTACCCTCCATCCTCTTGTTGCCTGGATCCCTTTTCTTTGTGGGTATGACCATTGGAGCACTGAAAAGATGATATAAGTGTCAGGTGAGTTGCATGTTATACATTTGATTTATGAGGGAATGCAGGCTGCTTTGGGAATTTCCTCTGGCACCTTAGCCCTTTTTCTCCTTTCCTTTTCTCCATATTCCAGGACCATCTGTAAAAGGCAGGGATGAGAGAGAGTTCAATGCCTTTCTCCTCCTCTTGATAAGAAGGGGTAGGATTATGGATAACTACAACTTTGAGAATTCTCCCTCTTACCTTCTGTAGTCCTCTAGATGTGGTCCAGGGGATTGGGGTTTTCAGAAGTGGTGTTTTTGCTGTGCCCTGTCCTAGAAGGCCCTGCAGAAGCTGACTAAAATGGGTAATTTTCTGAACTTAGAAATTGGAGCACTTAGTTTACTCTGCTTGTCAGCATTCTCACGGAAGCAAGAAACAGTCCTCAAAGGCACTTTATAACTGATACCATATAAAAACAATTTTTGCTACATTTGACATGACATACTCTTACAGTGATGTCTCTGGCAGAACAATGCACACTCAGTGAGTTGAGGAACAAGTTGCTGCAAAGAAGTGATAAGGCTTCATGTAAAGGCATGCTAGTGTTAAAGAAAGATGCCCTATATGCCAGAAATTGTAAGAAATTTGCATTATGACTGTATCAGAGAATATGGTCAGGACAGTAAAGAGTTTTTTGGTTCTCCTCAAATTAAAAACAACTAATTCAATAAGTATGGAAATATGTTTTCAATATTCTATAACTTTTTTATACTTTAATTCCTTCAAGAGTGTCATTAAATAATCCAGTTTTTTTAAGTATCCTGCAAACACCAAAGGTTGACAATCAAAGTTTTAAGTCAACATGTGAAGTTGCCATTGCTACTTATCAGGGCAATAAAGTCAATGACTGATATATTTTTTCAGTTTTTTAAATTTATTTTTTAATTAAATTTTAGTGTTTATTTTAGATATGGGGGGATACATGTGCAGGTTTGTTACATAGGTATATTGCATAGTCCTGAGTTTGGGGGTATGGATCCTGTCATCCAGGGAGTTAGCATAGGATCCAATAGGTAGTTTTTCAACCCTTCCCCACCTCTCTCTCGCCTCTCTTAGTCCCCGGTGTCTATTGCTTCCATCTACATGTCCATGTAAACTCAATGTCCAGCTCTTATTCATTAGTGAGAACATGTGGTATTTGATTTTCTGTTTCTGCATTAATTCACTTAGGATTATGGACTTCAGCTTAATCCATGTTGCTTAAAAGGACATAATTTGATTCTTTATTATGACTGCATAGTGTTCCTTGGTACCTGTATGTACCACATTTTCTTTATCCAATCCACCACTAATGGATACCTAGGTTGAGTTCATGTCTTTGTTATTGTGAATAGCACAGCAAAGAAAATATAAGTGCGTGTACTTAACTGATGTATTTGTACAGACCACCTCTTAACAACTCCATTTTGACTGGCCTTTTTGTATGTCGTCTGCTCTGATGAAACAGCGTCAAGACAATTTAAGAGTATCTTTGCACAAGTTCTTCCCTTCTGAAACACTCTTCTCTCTTTACTTTTTTGCCCTTTGGATCTCAATTGAGCCAAGCCCTCCTATTGCACATCTCCTTGTCATTTTTTAATTATACTTTCTCTGTGACCAGACTACATAGACTAAGAATCCACTCTCACCACTTAATTACATGTGAACATGAACAGACTCATCTAGCCTGACTTTGTCATCTTTTTCTTATTTGTCAAATAGAGATAATAACAGTAGCTTTTCATAAGGTTGTTGGGAAGATTGAATGAGTTAAGATAAAGCACTCAAACTATATAAATGTCTTATTGTACTCAGAGCTATGTTAAGCGTTAGGTATTATTACATTTATTATCGGTATTCACATTTTATTATTGTTGTATTGGTGGGCATACAGGCTGCTTTGGATACCCTTGGAATCATGTTAATCTTTCTCTACCTTTTTATTCTCAGCATCTAGTTCAATGCCACACACACACAAACATGCTTCACAAATGTCTGTTGACAAATCAGGTAAATGGCATGGCTTACTGATGTCTAACTGTGGAGATAGTTATCATTCATGGGCCCACTGAGAGCAAAAAGAAAGCTGACAATGGTAAAATAAACTCAGATAGGACTCAGAAGGACCTGTTTTTACTGACTTGGTTTTAGGATATATCTACACATAGAGAAGGGTTCGGACAATTATAGTTAGCAAATCAAGCAACAACAGTGTTTCAGACACTTTGATACCAAAATAATTTTCCTCACTTTAAATATAGCAGTTTTTCCACAAAAATGGCATGCATCAGCCAGGTAAAAAAGATACCATGTGTATATATCACTCATGTGTATATATCATCATGCATCAGCAAGGTAAAAAAGATACCATGTGTATATATCATCTTTTTTCCTGCAGAAAAAAGATGACACTCAAATTTGGTAATTTGAGGAATGTCTAAAACAAGCACTATTTGAATAGATGTGGGCAGGTTATAGGAAAATTGAAAAGGAAGGCAGTAACCTACAGACTATGCCTGAAAGGATGGAGGGAAATAAGAGTTTGCAGGAATCTGGAGGGAAAACTGTGTGGAGAGAACACTTGACAAGAAATGTGACCTCTGGTGGGCAGATGCAGTCAGCTTGGAGAGAGGAAGCCAGGGAAACAAGTACCTTACTTCTCTCTTCCTCAGATACCTTTTCCTGCCGTCATTCCTCCAGAAGTTTCTCTTGACAGCCAAACAACCAGGAGCCAGTAGAAAGAAAACTCTAAGTTAGAACTCACACACGTCAGTTTCATGAACACAGAGCAGGGTAGGGAAGGCTGAAGAGTAATTTGGAAGAGCAAAGGAAAGATGTCGAATGCATAAAGTCCACTAAGTTTGGGAAACATTGGGTTAAACAAAGCTACATAATTTTCTTTTCTGCAGGATTTCTCAGATCCTTTAAATGTGAATGCAAACTACAACTCTCCAGGAAGAGGGAAAAAATGTGCCAAGCATGCCAAATGTTTAACCACACAACCTCCCATTCTTGTAGAACACCTTAACAGACTCTTGTCCCATGTGACACACTCTAACATTTTCCAATGTTAGTATCTTGTAAATATTCAGGGTCAACCCATCATACCCCAAGTATTAAATTAATTTTGCCTGAAGAGTTGGTGTCTTAATTGGTAGAATTAGTATATTCCATTTCTCTAGCCCAAATTGTAGAACTTTCAGAGCTTCAAATAATTCTGGGCATTCCTCTACTCTGATGGGTTCAATCGGCAGATAAAATAATGAAGACATTGAAAAATAAAGTGGCTTGGGCAAAAACGAGAGCTATTCCTCTTGCACCAAAATTTAGAATTTTAACATGAGTCTCTAGACTCGGTCTTACAACTTTCCAAACTATCAGGTTTAGAACACAATGGAGTTTTTAAAACCAGAGTCAGAAATTAATGCACACACAGTTAATATAGGTAGATGGTACATCCTATTTTCTGCACTGCTAAGATATCCACTAGGCCTATATTACTTCCATCAGAAGCAAATAAACTTGCCCTTTTCATAACCCAAAAGTAGAATTCAAGAATTCATTGCCCTCAAAATTGGTTCACCCAACTTGATTTTTTTCTGTAAAACTGGGTTCTAAATAAAGTTCTCAGTATATAAATGAACACAGAGTGTTGTGCAAGTGGGCTTGCCCTTGGTAACAGACGCAGCTGTGCCTATCAAACACAAAATATGGTATTTAATTTTGGAAAATTGCTAACAGCAGGCAGAACTGTACAAAGGACAGTCACCTTCAACTGTCACTTAGGAAGAAACAAAGATATCAGGAACAGTACCATTTTTCCAAATATTTCCAGGCTACAGTTGCATTCGGTGCCTTTCCAGAACAACTGAACAATGAAATGGATAGTAATCTGCCAAATGCATACAGCTGTATGCCTGTTTCCTGGGGTTTATATTAGGGCCTGGGGAAACAAAGTTAAGGAAGTAAGGCTGCAGGGTAGCATCAGTCCATCCACTATAGTCCGATTCAGATTCAGATGGTCAGATTGGACTCTAAAGTGGAATTCCTAGTATAATACAGTCTTCACTTCCTTACAATATGGTTCCTGGTTTTTTATCCTTTACATTGGCACTGTTCAAGCAGCACATTTTGCCACCATGCAATTATCTTTTGGCAACCCTGGGCAGCTGTTGTTTGTGGAGAGTGTGTGGTGGCATTGAACACCTACATGCTTATATATACAGGTGGCTGAAGTTAACCAATTATTCAGAGGCAGTTAGATGAATCATGCATTTAAGGACTTGTCTGATTCACATCTCTACCTCATATGTAGAGGATTCTTTTCTCCCCAGTAAAATTTTATGGAGATTTACTATGGAGGGCAGATGTCCTGGTTCTAGCACGACATGGTGGACTGGAATGGAATCAAAGATGCTCTTCCAATCTTTTAGGTGTAATACATCAGTGTTAACACTCACTCATTCATATAGCAGGGGTAAATAATTAAGAGTGTGGCATCATAGAAGCAGCAAGTCTTGAATTGTGGAGAGTCCTGCTTTTTTGTTGTCATTTTATTTTCAGTTTAGCTGAAAGTACACAGTCTTCCTTGTTTCGAACATTTTCTACTTTATGGCAATAGATTAAATTTAATCATGTTTTAGTTCACAAATTGTTTCTTGGTGTATATGTGTTTTTATTTTCCACTATGTCATTATTTCAAAAGAATCTACTGCTCTTCTGGTTAAATTCGCTTACCAACACTCTTTGCCTCTAAAAAAAAAGATGAATAACAGAGCCCAATTTGAAATGGCCATCTCTGTTACTCCAATTAACATACTGTATGTACGTGTGTATTGCAAAAAATAACTAGATTTTCCTGGGCTTGGCATCACTAAAATGTCCAAAAAATATCTTATTCCCATGAACATAAACTTCAAAATGTCAACTGCATTTACAATTACGAATAATAGTGAGCTGCCATTCCCAAGGGAAATAATGAAAGAAATATTTCATAGTTTTTTTAGCAAAAACAAATGATTTGCATGTTTCCACCAAAAGGGAATAAAACCCTTAATATGGAATATCCCTCGGGTCTCCTTTTTGGAAACAAAATTCATAACCACCTGCCATTTGATGAAATCTAATAAATTCCTAATATAGCATACACTCCTCCAAAGTGTTCATTGTTCAAAGAAACTCAAGTGAAAATAAGGTATGAAATCCTCATGTGCACAGAGAGATAAAGATAAATGCAGCATTTTTAAAATATCTGTTTTTTTCTAGCACAAAGAAAACATATCGGAAATATTAAAGTGAGCATAATTTCATCCCACAGCAATAGTTTCAACTATACTTTAATGCTACCAGGTAGACTCACACATTTCCTTAATGGGTGTAAAATTTATTAACAACATTTTAGTTCTGTTTTTCATAGAGAATATGCATAAACCCTGTGTTTTGATTCATGACATTTTATTCCTATTATTTATCCAAAGGGTAATTAAAATTTCTTTTTTGATGATGTAGATGGAATATGAAAATAGAAGGGAGGTTATTGACCCATTAAATAGTTAAATGAAAATCACCTTCACAGATGTTTGGTGGAGAAAAATATGCTATGCATAGAAAAGCTGAAATGTTTTTACACAAATGTTAGGCATTGGGCTGAAATTACAATAGCCTTTCATGTCCAGTTTTGTTACAATTCCATTAAGGCAACTGCAGAGATTGGTAAATAGCTGTTACCATAGGAGAGTCACCATATGTAATATAGTTTGTGCTAGTCATTGTGTAAGCATTTTATATACATTCTCTCATTGACACATTTAACAGCCTGTGAAGTTCCTATTTTATTCCCACCTCACATACTGAGAAACTACAGCTCAGAGAAACAAAGTAAACTGGGTTCCTACTTGAACCTAGTTTTTATGTACTATGCATGGTTTCATATGTTTACTGATATACATATATAAAATTTTATTTATATATAATATATTATATATATAAAATAAACCATAAAGTCAGAAATTTAGAATGAAATTTAATATGACTATACTTTATTTGCTGATTCCAAGATAGGCATCTATATTTTCCCAACATTAAAATAAAGATCATCTGGACAATCTTCTAACCAACTCCGAACAGTTCTTTCTGGAGTTTTTCTCCTTTTATTTCTCCTACTTGGAGTTGTAGGAGAAATCTGTGTCTCAGAGAAATAAACAAAAGGTGTTCTATTTTAAAATAAAAAGACAGAAATTAGCAGCTTGGACATTTCACAAAAGAAGCTAATTAATTACCAAGCTAACTGGAGGTTTCCTCCATTCATGGGCATACTGGAATTGCAAAATCTAGTTGTGAGCATAGAATAATATCTATAAAAAGTCTTTAAGATAGCATGAAAAACATAGCATAATATCAGTAACAAATATTTTATAATGTCTAAAATTTTATAACTTCTTTTGTCTATTTTCTTAAAACTCCCTTATGCCATAATTTGGCTGTATTTATGTGATAAACACACTCTTATCTTTGTAATGAATTTTTAAGGAAAAGACAGAACCATGTAAAATATGCTTTTGAAAAATGGGCACATTATGCATGTGAATGCTCTCTCTCTACTAATTAATGTAATGTGGCAGTATCCAACAAACCAGAGCAGATGGGGCTCTAAGTTGTACCAGCCTGTGCCGTTCTTAGGGGGAACAATTTTTGTTCACATCTCTAAATAAAGAGAGTGAGATTTTGGGAAGGATAGTATAATTTAACAAACAGCAGAGAGTGTGACCATTCAGACTGCTTTTTCCTGTCAACCACTTGAATGCAAAACCTGTTTCAGAGATGAAGCAATAGAAAGTGTTGGAAGCAAGACAGATACGAGTTGGAATCCCAACCATTGCCATGGGTGACCACTAAACCTCAGCTTCCTCATCGGCAGTATGGGGATAACCATAGTAGCAAACATTTCTAAAGGTAATTGTGAGAAGTACTTTTATGACTGCACAATTAATGCTGCTTCTAGTACCACTACAACTGCTGCTATTCTATTACTATCAGTGCCTCTATTACTATCAGAGCCACAGAGCTCTAGCTTATAAGCCCATCTATTCATTTCTAGACTGACATGATCATTTTTGCATATTCTCATTGCCTCCCATTTCTACCTTCTCTAACTTATCCTGCAAATCACTACCTAATTATATGTCAATATTCTGTTTTGAACTCTAGGTAAGTGCTTTCTCTATTTCAATTTTAAAAAAGAAATTCTTGCTCCAAGTCAGTGATTCTCCACCAGGGATAACTGTAATGTACAGAGAACCTTTAGTAATGTCTGAAAAAAGCATCTTGACCCACAGAGGACATTTAGCAACATCTAGATGCACTTTTGGCTGTCACAACTAGAGGTACAGGTACTATTGGCATCTAGAGATAGAGGCCAGGGAAGCTTCTAAACATCCTATAATTCAGACTCCTCTTGCCTGAACATGAAGTACACTTGGGGCAATAAAAGAAATCACCTCAAATCTTGCTGTGCGCCCCTCTGCGCCGGAGCCGGCGCCGTGCCCCTCTCTGCGCCTTCTTTTCTCACCATGGGGAAGCGTTTGGGGTCGTCTTGAGGGACCCCCTAGATGCTTCTACTCAGAGCCCCCAAAGCCGGGGAGCCTCCACTCCTCTGTCTGCAGCCTCCCCTGTCGGTTCTCGCTACCCAGGGTTCAGTGGCCTGGGGGCTGACGGAGGTGGTCGCCTCTGCCAAGGCCCCTCCCGGCACCTCCCTGGCTCATCCAGGCCACCTTCCTCCCACCTGGCTCACGCAAAGTGCTCTGGTCACCAGGAGCCCTTCCTGACCAGCCCCGGCCCCTTCTTGGCCTTCGCCCACCTGGCCTCCCCTGGAGCCCTGACCTGGGTGCCGGGCCTGCTGGGTCCAGAGCCCACCCCGCCCTGAACAACCCCGAGTCTCAGCCACCCTCAGCTCTTACCCTTTCACAGCTGGGGAGTGGAGCCTGGGCCTGCGCCTCTCTGCGCCTGCGCCGCCGCTGTGCCCCTCGCCGCCGCTGTCCGCCTCTCCGCCGCGCCGCCGCTGTCCGCCTCTCCGCCGCGCCGCCGCTGACCGCCTCTCCGCCGCGCCGCCGCTGTCCGCCTCTCCGCCGCGCCGCCGCTGTCCGCCTCTCCGCCGCGCCGCCGCTGTCCGCCTCTCCGCCGCGCCGCCGCTGACCGCCTCTCCGCCGCGCCGCCGCTGTCCGCCTCTCCGCCACGCCGGCACCGGCGCTGTGTGCCTTTGCAAGGGCGGAGCTGCGTTCTCCTCGGCACAGACCCGGAGAGCATTGCGAGGGCGGAGCCGCGTTCTGCTCTGCACACACCTTGGGGCACTGCCTCGCTTTGGGACAACTCGGGGCCGCATCGACGGTGAATAAAATCCTTCCTGTTTGCAGCCCTGTTTGTGGTTGGTGGCAGCGATGGACACTGCAGCCAGCCAGAGCGTAGAAAGGCATCGGGGTAAGTGCACTATTCAGGCTGCACTGCGGGTGGCCTGGGACGGGTTGGGAGCCCTATCTCAGGTGTCACTGCCCGTCTTGGGTGGCTGGTTGGGTGTGCTATCTGGGGCTGTGCTGCCTGCACCGGGGGGTGGTTTGGGGGCCCAAACCGGGGCTGCACTGCCTTTGGCGGGGAGCCGGTTGGGGGCACTATCCCAGACTGTATTGCTGGCAACAGTGAGGTGGGCTAAGTGTGCTATCCAGGGCTGCACTGTGCGGCTGTGGGGGGTGGGGTGGCGGTTTCGGTTGAGGGCGCTATGGGGTGCTGTAATGCCCATGGTCCAGGGAGGCGGGGCGGTTTGGGTATGTTGGGTGTGCTATTGGGGGGGGCGACACTGCTGGTGGTAGGGGGCAGGGTGGGTTGGGGGCCATATCAGGGGCTGCACTGATTGCTTTAGCTAGGATTTCAGGTGCTATGTTAAACAACAGTGGTGACAAGGGGCATCCTTATCATGTTCCAGATCTTAGAGGAAAAGCTTTCCATTTTTCCCCATTCCATATGATTCTAGCTGTGGGTGTCTTTCCTGTAGTTTTTATTATGTTGCGGTATGTTTCTTCTGTGCCTGTTTCTTTGAGGATTTATAGCATGAAGGGATGTTGAATTTCATCAAATGCTTTTTCGGTTTCAGTTGACGTGATCATACTGTTTTTGTCATTTATTTGGTTGATATGATGTATCACATTGTATGTTGAGTGACTCTTGCATCCCAGGGATACATCCCACTTGATCATGATGAATTATCTTTTTAATGTATTACTGAATTTGATTCACTGGTATTTTGTTGAGGATTTTTGCATCAATATTAGAGATACTGGCCTGTAGTTTCCTTCTTTGATGCTTTTATCTGATTTTTGTATCACAGTAATAATGGTCTCATAGAATAAGTTTGGAAGTATTCCCTCCTGTTTTTCAAAATAGTTTGAGCAGGATTCGTACTAGGTCTTTAAATTGTTTGCTGTGAAGCCATCAGCAGTGAAGACATCAGTTCCTGGGCTTTTCTTTACTGGGAGACTTTTTCTGATGGCTTCAATCTCATTACTTGTTACCAATCTGTTCTGGTCTTGGATGTTTTCATTGTTTTACCTAAGTAGGTTGTATGCATCTAGGAATTTGCCAATTTCTACTAGGCTTTCCAATTTATTGGCATATAATAGCCAGTTATGATCCTTTGAATTTCTGAAGTATTAGTTGTAATGTCTCCTTTTTTTAATCTGTTGATTTTATTTATTTGAATCTTGTCTCTTTTCTTAGGCTGGTTAAAAGTTTGTCAATTTTGTTTAGCTTTCCAGAAAACCAACTTTTCGTTTAATCTTGTGTGTTTTTTATTTCAATTTTGTTTCTGCTACGATCTTAGTTATTTTCTTATTTTTGGTTTAGTTTGTTCTTACTTTACTAGTTCTTTAAGATGTATTGTTTATTTGAAGTTTTTCTTTTGTTTGGATGGTAGGCACTTATAGCTGTAAATCTCTGCCTTTGTACTGCTTTCTGCGTAACAAGTTTTGGTATACTGTGTTTTCATTACCCTTTGTTTCATGAAATTTTTGAATTTCTGTCTTAGTATCTTCATTGACCCGCTAGTCATTTATTCAGGAGGGTAGTATTTAACTTCCATGTGATTGTATTGTTTCCAAAATTACTTTTCTTATTGATACCTAGTTTTATTCCTTTGTAGTGAAAGAAGATGGCCACAGAGACAGACAGCAGCGTGGTTAGAGTGGTAGGAGCCGGCCATCAGCGAGAGCTGCTCCATGCCTGGCTGCTGGGTGCTAGAGCCTGCGGCCCACTGGCTTGCCTCACTGTGGTTGGTGGTGGCAGTAACAGAGACTGCAGCACAACCAGAGTGGTAGGACAGGGGCTATCCAGGGCTGCACCTTTCGCAGTGTGGGGTGGGTTGGGGGCGCTATCCAGGGTGTCATTGCCTGCATTAGGGGTACTGGTTGGTAGCACTCCACAGGGCTGCACTACCCACGGCAGGGAGGGTGGGTTATGGGTGCTTTCTGGGGCTGCAGTGCCCATGGAGGAGGACAGGTTAGGGCACTATCGGGTATACGCTACTGGCAGCATTGGGGGACGGAGGTGGGGGGCGCTATTGAGGGCAGGACTAGCCGTGGAGGGCGGGCGAGTTCGGTGCTATCAGGGGCTGCACTGCTGGCGGCGGTCAACAGAGTTGGCATCCAAGGAAGGAGTGGTTCTCCTCTCCCTGACTCCACACTCCAGAGGGCAACCCACTCTTGGTCATACTGGAGTGTGGCAGGGCACGCAGCGTTTGCATGGGAATCCTGAGCATGGCAGAGCCCCCACACCCACCGTGGTTCCTGGGCCTGTGCACTCTCGGTCTGTGCCTCAGAGGCTGCCAGGCACCCCTGGGGACACCACGGGGGACAGGGCCCTGTGCGTGGAGGCGTCCAGAACAGGAATTGGCACCTGGGTGTGGAGGGCTGGCTGGGTCTGAATTTTTCTGCTTCTCCTGTTCCCCGAGGAGTGCAGCCCCGGTGGGCCCAATGGTTCCTGTGGAGTGGGGAGCTGGAATCTGTGGTGTCTCCAGCACCCACCCCAGACCCCAGTTCCCAGACAGCTTGGGCCAAAAGGAGAGGCTGGACTTTGGAGGGTGGGTGTGAGTGCCTTTGCTGAAACTGGCCCCTGCCACCCAGTGGCTGGCATGACAAGTTGAGGCTCTAACCCTTCCACTCCTCACAACTTCCTCTAGGCTTTTCTGGCTTTGCCCGCCCAGCTGCTCCGTGCCAGGAAGAGGAGGAGACACCTAGAGCCTGCAACACCACGGCTCGCCTCGCTGCAGGTGGATGGCAGTGACGGAGACTGCAGTGCGCCAGAGCGGTAGGAGAGCGGCCGCGCTAGGAGGGCAGGCGGCTGCAGGCAGGGTTGGGAGTCAGGCTTACAGCGATGGACGGGCTGCAGCAGTGGCCAGGTGGTAGGAGCCTTGTAGGGAGGGCTGGTGCATTGGCAATGGGCCTGGCTTTGCCCTGCGCCTGCCATGGATCTGGCCCTGTACTGCCCTGCCTTGCCCTGTACCTGCCCTACTGTTACCTGGATTGTCTCGGCCCTGTCCTGCTCTGGTCCCATCCTGACCCTGTCTTGGCCCTGTGCTACCCTGTCCCTGCCCTGGTCTTGCCCTGACACTGGCCCTGCCCTGAACCTGCACTGGCCTGACCTTGGCTCTGGCCCTGGCTCTGGCCCTGCCCCTTGTCCTGACCCTGGTCCTGTCATGGCACTGGCCCTGCCAATGGTCATGGTCCTGCCCCTGTTCTGGCCCTGACCTGGCCTTGGAAATGTCCTGGACCTGCTTTGGCCCATCCCTGTTCTGGCCCTGACCTGGCCTTGGAAATGTCCTGGACCTGCTTTGGCCCATCCCTGCCCTGGCCCCACCATGGGCCTGCCTGTTCTGCCCTCTCCTGGCACTGACCTTGCCCTGTCATGGCCCAGTGGTGCCATTGCCCTGCCTTACCCTGCGCTGGTTGTGCCTTGGCCCCGCTTGGTGCTGGCCGCTCCCTGGACCTGCCCTGGACCTGCCCTGACCCTGCCTTGGCTTTTGCCCTGCCCTCACTATGGCCTGGCCCTGGCCCTAGCCCTGGTCCTGCCATATCCCTGGCCCTGCCCTTATCCAGGCCTTGCCCCTGCTGCTGCCCTGGCCCTGGCCTGGAACCTGGTCCTGTCAAGGATCTGCCCTGACTCTGCCATGGCCCTGGCCCTGCTCTGCCTTGTTCCTGGCCCTGACCCAGACCCAGACCCATTCCTGGCTCTGCACTGGCCTTTCCCTGGCCCTGAGCTGGCAGTGGTCTGCCCCTGGTCTTGCCATCACCCTGCCCTGCTGTGCTCTGGATGTGTCATCACCCTGCCCTGCCCCTACTCTGCCTTTGACCCTGCCCTGGCCTTACCTTGGCCCTCACCCTAGTCTTCGCTAGGCCCAGCACAGACCTGGCTCTGACCCTGGCCGAGCACAGACCTGGCTCTGACCCTGGCCCTGGTCTTTGTCCTGCCATAGCCTTGGCCCTGAAGTGGACTTGGAGGTGTCCTGGCCCCGGTGTAACATGGCTCTTCTTTGGCCTGTCTCAGCCCTGCCCCTACCATCGCCTTGCCCTGCTCTGCCCTGCCCCAGTACTGACCCGGCCACGCTATTTCCCTGCCCTACCCTGCCTTGGCTGTGCCCTGGCTCGGTTCTGGCCCTGGCCCCGGCCCTGCCCTGGACATGCTCTGACACTGCCTCAGCCTTGGCACTAGCCTGGCTCTTTCTTGGCATCAGCCCTGCTCTCTCTGTGGACTGGCTCTTGTCCTTTCCTGCCCTGGCCATACCATGCCCTGCCCTGCCCTGCCCTGACTCAGCCCTGACTCAGCCTTGGCCTTGGCATTGCCCCTGGTCCTGCCATATTTCTTGCCCTGTCCCTACCCTAGCCTTGGCCCTGACCCTTACCTTGCTGTGGCCCTGCCCTTGCCCTAACGCAGCCCCTGGTCCTGTCATGGCCCTGCCCTGGACCTGTCCTGGCCCTGGTCCTTCCCTGCTTGAGACCTTGCCCTGGTTCTCCCCTGGCCCTGACCCTGAAATGCCTGGCCCTACCCTGGCCTTGCACTGCTCTGGCCCTTGCCCTGACTCTGGTCCTGTCACTGACCTAGCCCCAGCCCTGTTGCTGGTCTTACCATGGCCCAGACCCTGCCTTGGCCCTGCCCTGACACTGTCCTGGACCCTGGCTGTGCCAAGAACCTGTACTGTCCTTGCCCTTGTTGTGCTCCTGCCCCGAACCTGGTCCTTCCCAGGCCGTGGCCGTGGCCCTGGCCCTGGCCCTGCCCAGGTCTTGGCACTGGCCTGGCCCTGCCCTGCCCTGGCCCTATGCTTTCCTGGCCCTGCCTTGGCCCTAGCCTGGCTTTGACCCTGCCCTGGCCCTACCTTGGCCTTCACCCTAGCCTTACCTGGGCACTGTGTTTGACCTGGCTATAGCACAGACCTGGTTGTGGCCCTGGCCCTGCCGTGGCCCTGTCCCAGACCCTAGCCCTGCCAGGTACCTGTCCTGGCCCAGCTCTGGGCCTGGCTTTGTCCCTGGTTCTTAGATGACCCTGGCCCTGCCCCTGCCCTTGCCCTTGCCATGGCACTGGCCTTGGACATGTCCGTGGTCCTAACCCTGGCCCTGCCCTGGAGCTGCCACTGTCTTGGCCCTGCCCTGGCTCTGGCCCTGCCCCAGCCCTGGCCCTGCCCCGGCCCCAGCCATAGACCTGCCCTGGTTGGTCGTTCCCTACCTTAACCCTGTGCTACCCTGGGCCTGCTCCACCCTGCCCTGGCCCTGCCCTCCCTTTGGGCCTGCTCTGACCCCGCCTTGGCCCTCACACTGGCCCTAGCACAGACCTGGTCCTATCTGTGGCCTTGCTCTGGCATTGACCCCTGCTCCTGACCCTGGTCCTGCCATGGCCCTGGCCCTGCCAATGACCCTGGCCCTGAACTGGCCCTGCCCTGACCTGGCCCTGAAGTGGATTTGCAGGTGTCTTGTCCATGATTTAACCTGGTCTTACCATGGCCCTGTCCCTCCCCTGGCTCTGTCCTGGTCTTGTGCTGACCCTGACCCAGACCTTGGCCCTGCCCCAGCCTTGTCCTTGACCTGGCCATGCCCCTGCCTCTGCCCTGGACCGGCACTGGCACTGGCATGGACCCTGGCCCTGGCCCTTCACTACTTAAGGCCATACCCTGGCCCAGCCCTGGTCCTGACCCTGTCCTGGCCCTAGCCCCGTTGCTGGTCCTGCCATGGCCCTTGTCCTGACATTGCCCTTTCCTGGTTCTGGCCCTGGCCCTGTCCCAGCCCTGCTCTGGCCCTGGTCTGAACCCTGGCCCTGCAATAGACCTGCCTTGGTCCTGCCCACACCCTGGCTCTGGCCCTACCTCTGCCCTGGCCATACCCTTGCCCTGGCCTGGACCCCAGTCCTGGTCCTTGTCCTGCCCCAGCCATGGCCCTGGCCCTGCCCTGCCTGTGCCCTGTTCTATCCTGGGCTGGCCCTGCCATGACCTGGTCTTGCCATTGCCCTGCCCTAGCCTGCCATGCTTGTGCCCTAGATCTGCCCCGCTTGTGCCCTAGATCTGCCCCAGCCTTTGCCCCTGTCTTGGTTCTAACCTTGACTCAGCCCTGGACCTTCCCTGACCTTGCCTCAGCCCTGGCACTACCCTGGCCTTGCCTTGGCATTTGCCCTACCCTCTCTATGGCCTGGCTGTGGTCCTGCCCTGCTCTGCTCTTCTTCTGTCCTGGCACAGCCCTGGCCCTGGCCGTGGCCCTGCTGTATCACTGGCTCTGGTCCTGCCCTTATGCAGACCTGACCCTGCCACTGCCTTGGCTTTGGCCTGGACCTTGGCCATACAGTGACCCTGCCATGACCCTTTCCTGGCCCTGGCCTGGAACCTGGCCCTGCCAAGGACTCGCCCTGGCTCTGTCATGGCCCTGGCCCTTTCCTGGATTTGGATGTGTCCTGTCCCTTATTTGCCCCAGCCCTTCCCTGGCTCTGCCATACCCCTTCTCTGGGGTAGGGCCAGGGTCAGGACCAGACCAGGGCAGGGTCAGGACCAGGGTAGGGCCATGGTAAGGCCTGAAGATGGGAAGGGCCAGGGCAGCGGCTGGACCAGGGAAGGGTCAGGGCCAGGGATGTAGTAGGACTAGGGGCAGAGCCAGCACTAGGGCTGAGCCAGGGCAGAGCAGGAGAGATTACTTTAGGCTATTATGTAAAATTTTTATTTTAGATTTTTAAGATAACTATAGTAGTAGTAATGTCTATACTATGTTGTTTGTGATAGTAATAATATTTGTAGTAATCACTAAATTTTAACTAATACTATCTTTGCTTCCAGTAGTGTTCTATGAGTATAATTTTATCAACATGTAAATATGTGAGGCATTGATTCTCACAATAATTCTATGTGCTAGGTACTTAAAGCATCTCCATTTTCCAAATGTAGGAAACAGGCATAAAGAAGTTAAATACTTGGCCAGATTACTCCTGTAATCCCAGCACTTTGGGAGGCCAAGGCAGGCAGATGGCTTGAGCTCAGGAGTTTGGAACCAGCCTGGGCAACATTGTGAAACCCCATCTCTACTAAAAATGCACAAAAAGAACTAATTTAAGTTTCTTGTAGGATTCTGGTTATAAAACACTGGTCAAACACACAGGGCATGGATAGGGCAGGGCCAGGGACAAGGTCAGGCCAGGAAGGGGCCAGGGCCAAGGCAGGGCCAGAGCTGGACTTGGAGGTGTCCTGGTCTGATTTGCCCTGCCCCGACGTTGGCCCAGCCCTGCTCTGGCACGTCCTGTCATGCCCTGTCCCTGGCCTGAGCATTGGCCCTGTCCCTGTCCTGCTTCTGGCCCTGCCCCGGAGTTGACCAGGCACTGCCATGGCCCAGTCCTGCATTGCCCTGCCCTCCTCTGCCCTGGTGCTACCATGGCCCTGCTTGGGCCCTAGCTCTGCCTCGACTCTGGACCTGCCCTGACTCTGCTCAGCCCTGGATCTACCCTGACTCTGCCTTGGTGTTGCCCTCCCATCTCTATGGCCTGGCTCTGGCCATGCCTTGCACAGGCCATGCTCTGCCCTGCATGCCCCAGCCTGGGCCCAGCCCTCATCCTACCATATTCCTGACCCCAGCCATACCCTTGTTCTGGCCATGACCCTGCCATGGCCCTCTCCTGGCCCTTCCTTGGTCCTGCCCTGCCCTTCCATGCCCTGGCCTTGCCCTCACCCTGCATTGGCCCTGCACTGGTCCTGCCCTGCCCTGGCACTGCCTTGGCCCCGGCCCTGCCTTCTCCCTGGCCTTGCCTTTGCCCTGCCCTGGCCTGACCCCAGGCCTACCGAGTCCATGAAATGGCCCTGGACCTGCCTTGCCATCCTCTGTCCTGGCCCTGTATTGTCCCCACCATGCTCTGGTCCAGCGCTTGCCCTAGCCCTGTTGCTAGTCCTGCCACTGCTATGGCCCTGCTCTGTTTTTGGCCATGCGCTGTGCTACCCTAGCCCTGCCCTGCCTTGGCCTTGGCCCTACCATGGCCTTCTCCTACCCTGGCCTGGCCGTATACTGGCCTTTTCTACCCTGGCCTTGCCCTTCCCTGGTCTTGGCCTGCCCTGGCCTTGCCCTGCACTGGCCTTGGCTTTGCCTTATCCTGGTCCTGGTTCTGCCCTGACCCTGGCCTTGCTCTGGCCCTGTCCCTGGCCCAGCCTTGACCCTGACCCTGGCCCTGACAATCCCCAGGTCTGACACTGGCCATGCTTGGCCCTGGCCCCTCCTTTTGGCCCTGCCCTGTCCCTGCCTTGGCCCTGTGCTATCTTAGTCCTGCCCTGACCCTGAACTCGCCCTGGCCCTACCCTCACCCTACACTGGCCCCGCCCTACCCTGGCCTTGCCCTGCCCTGGCCCTGCCTTTGGCCTGCTGTGGCTCTGGTTCTGCCCTGGCCTTGCCCTTGCCCTGGACTCTCCCTGGCCATGTTTTTTCCATGGTCCTTCTCTGGCCTTGCCCTTGCCCTGTCCTCTTTCTGGTCCTGCCATGTTTCTGGCCCTGCCCTGTCCATGTCCTGGACCTGACTCTGGCCCTGGATCTCCCTGTCCCTGCCCTGCCATACCCTGGCCTGTTCCTTGCTCTACACTGACCCTGCCCTGCCTTGGCCCTGTGCTACCCTAGCCCTGCCCTGACCTTCTGCTGACCCTGATCCTGCCATGGCCCTGGCCCTGCCATGTCCCTGTCCTGGCCCTGGTTCTGCGCTGCTTCTGGCCCTAGCCTTAGTCCTCTCATGTCCCTGGCTGTGACCCTGCCCCTGGTTTTTCTCTGGCCATGACCCTGCCCCAGTTCTGTCCTATACCTGGCCCTGTCTCAGTTCTGTCCTAGCCCTGGCCTTTCACAGTACTTTATGCCTAGTAAGGGCTCCATGGTGTCTGTGAGTTGAATGTTGTGTTCATAGTATCTGCCAAAACAGAAAGAAAAAAACGAAATATTTTGATAAGAAGTTAAAGCTTTGTATATAATATGCCTTGAATTGTAAGTGCCTGTTATTAGTTGTATTACATATAGGTCATGGTTTTGTACACATAACTCCAAACCATTGATACTGTTAAAAGAATATATGAATATATGAAAGAATGTGTAAACGTAAGAATGTATCAGTATCTAATGACCTTTCCAAATTAATTTTTATTTTTAGCTCTATTAGATTTTTCTCAGTGTAACAAATGTTTATTCCTATGTAATTAAGGGCGTATTTCCTGTCCAGAATATTCATATTACCTAATTGAAAATTATATGATACAAAAATATAATACTATTTTTAGGCCAGGCATGGTGGCTCATACCTGTAATCCCAACATTTTGAGAGGCCAAGTTTGGAGAATCATTTGAGTCCAGGAGTTGACCAGCCTGGGCAACATAGTGAGACCTTGTCTTTATTAAATAAATAAATAAATAAATAGGTTGGGCACTGTGGCTCATATCTGTCATCCCAGCATTTTGGGTTGCCAATGCAGGAGGATTGCTTGAGCCCAGGAGTTTGAGACCAGCCTGGGCAGAATAGCAAGACTCCATCTCTACAAATAATAAAATATTAACCAGGTGTGGTGGTGCACACCTGGGGTCCCAGCTACCTGGGAGGCTAAGATGGGAGGTTTGCTCGAGGTTGCAGTGAACTGTGAATGCACCACTGCATTCCAGCCTAGGCCACAGAACAGGACCTTGTCTATAAATAAAGAAATAAGTAAAAATATAAATAAAAATAAGTAAAAATAAATATAAGTAAATATAAATATAAATACATATAAATATAAAAATGCATACATGAAAAGAAACAATTTTTAAATTTAACATCACTGAGGGCATCCTATCCATTTCATTTCATGATTCCATCACATCATTTCACTTAGATGAAATGATAAGATGACTTGAGATGAGATGAAATGATGAGATGAAATGACAAAATGATGAGATGAGATGATGAGATGAAATTTTGAGATGAAATGGTGAGTAGAAATGATGAGATGAAATTATGAGACAAAATGACAAAATTGAAAAGAAATTGAAAGGAGATGAGATGAGTTAAAATGAGATGAAATGATGAGATGATGGATGAAATGATGAGATAAAACGAGCCATGAAATGATGAGATGAAATGAAATGAAATAATGAAATTGAAATGAGATGAGATGAAATGAGATAAAATGATGAGATGAAATGAGATGAATGATGAGATGAAATGATGAGATGAAATGAGATGAAAAATGATGAGACGAAAAATGAGATTAAATGAAATGAAATAATGAAAGGAAATTATGAAATGTAATGATGAAATTGAAATGAAATTGAAATGAGATGAGTTGAAATGATGAGATGTAATGATGAAATGAAATGATGAAATGAGATGAAATAATGGGATGAAATGAGATAATGAGATGAGATGAGATGAAATCATGAAATGATGAAATGAAATGATGTATGAAATGATGAGATGAAATGAGATGAAATGTAATGAGATGAAATGAACTGACATAATGAAATGAAATAATGAAATGAGATGAAATGAAATAATGAAATGATGAAGTAATGAAATGAAAATGAAATGGAAATGATGAGATGAGAAGAAATGATGAGATGAAATGATGAGATGAGATAAAATGAGATGAAATGATGAGATGAAATGAAATGATGAGATGAGATGAAATATGATGAGATGAAATGACATAATGAATGAAATGATGAAATGGAATAATGAAACGGAAATGATGAGATGAGATGCAATGAGTTGAAATGAGATGAAATGATGAAATGATGAGATGAAATGATATGAGATGTGATGAAATGATGACATGAAATGATGACATAAAATGAGATGAAATGAGATGTAATGATGGAATGAGATGAGATGAAATGAGATGAAATGATGAGGTGAGATAAAATAATGATATGAAATGATGAGATGAATGATGAGATGAAATGAGATGAATGATGAAATGAAATGATGAGATGAGATGAGATGATGAGATGAAATGATGAGATGAGATAAAATGAGATGAAATGATGAGATGAAATGAAATGATGAGATGAGATGAAATATGATGAGATGAAATGACATAATGAATGAAATGATGAAATGGAATAATGAAACGGAAATGATGAGATGAGATGCAATGAGTTGAAATGAGATGAAATGATGAAATGAGATGAAATGATATGAGATGTGATGAAATGATGACATGAAATGATGACATAAAATGAGATGAAATGAGATGTAATGATGGAATGAGATGAGATGAAATGAGATGAAATGAGGTGAGATAAAATAATGATATGAAATGATGAGATGAATGATGAGATGAAATGAGATGAATGATGAAATGAAATGATGAGATGAGATGAGATGATGAGATGAAATGATGAGATGAACTGATGAGATGAAATGAAATAATGAAATGAAATTGAAATAAAATTGAAATGAGATGAGATGAAATGATGAGATGATGAAATAAAATGATGAAATGATGAGATGTGATGAGATGAAATGATGAGATGAGATGACATGAAATAATGAAATGAAATAATGAAATGAAATTGAAATGAGATGAGAAGATACGAGATGAGATGAAATGATGAGATGAAATGATGAAATGATGAGATAAGATGAAAAGAGTTGATGAGATGAGATGAAATGGGATGAAAAGAGATGAAATGATGAGATGAAATGAAATGATGAGATGAAATGAGGTGAAATGAAATTAGACGAAATGTAATGAGATGAAATGAAATGACATAATGAAATGAAAAAATGAAATGACATAATGAAATGAAAAAATGAAACGAAATAATGAAATGAGGTGAAATTAAATGAGATGATGAAATTAAATGATGAAATGAAATAATGAAATGGAAATGAAACGGAAATGAGATGAAATGACGAGATGAATGATGAGATGAAATGATGAAATGCAATGATGAGATGAAATGATGAAATGAGATGAGATGAGATGTAATGATGAGAGGAAATGATGAGATGTAATGAAATGAGATGAAATGAATGAGATGAAATGAAATAATGAAAGGAAATTGAATTGAGATATGAGATGAAATGATGAGATAAAATGAGATGAAATAAATGATGAGATGAAATGATGAAATGCTGAGGTGAGATGAGATGAAATGAGAAGATGAAACGATGAGATGAAATGAAAGGATGAGATGAAATGATGAGATGAAATGATGAGATGAGATGAGATGAAATGAGATGAAATGAGATGAAATGATGAAATGAGATGAGAAGAAATGATGAGATGAAATGAGATGAGATAAAATGATGAGATGGAATGAAATGAAGTGAAATGAAATGAAATAATGAAATTGAAATGAGATGAGATGAAATGAGATAAAATGATGAGATGAAATGATGAGAAGAAATGAGATGAAATGATTAAATGATGAGATGAGATGATGAGATAAAAAATGATGAGATGAAAAATGATTAGATGAAATGAGATGAATTGAAAGGAAATAATGAAATAATGAAATGAGATGAAATGAAATGATGAAATGATGATACTGAAATGAAATTGAAAGATGAGATGAAATGATGAGATGAAATGTTGAAATGAAATGATGAAGAGATATGACATGAAATGATGAGCTGAAATGATGAGATGAAATGAAATGAAATGAGATTAAATGATGAGATGAAAAATGATGAGATGAAAAATGATGAGATGAAATGATGAGATGAAATGAGATGAGATGAATTGAGATGAGATGAGATGAGATGAAATAATGAAATTAGGTGAAATAATGAAATGAGATGAAATAATGAAATAAAATTGTAATGAGATGAGAAGAAATGAGATGAAATGTTGAAAAGAAAGGAGGAAATGATGAGATGAGATGAAATGATGAGATGAAATGAATTGAGATGAAAAATGGTATGAAAAATGATATCAAAAATATGAGATGAAATGAAATGAGATGATATGAAATGACATAATGAAATAAGTGAAATTAGATGAAATGAAATAGTGAAATGAAATGATGAAATGAAATAATGAAAATTAAATGGAAATGGGATGAGATGAGATTTGATGAAATGATGAGATGAAATGATGAGATGATATGAAATGATGAGATGAGATGGGATAAGATGAAATGATGAGATAAAATGATGAGATGAAATGATGAGATGAAATGATGAGATGAAATGATGAGGTGAAGTGATGCACTGTCACGTGTGTGTCTTTTTCCCAACCAACAAAAATTATAATTCATTAATTTTATTTTATTATTTAAGAGTATTCTTAAGAGTTGAAGGAAAAATAATATCTGTACATTATGGGTTACAATTAAGTATAAATAATACGTAAATATATTAAAACTTACAAAGAATATGTTTCAGAATCGAATATACCATGCTTCTGTGATGACAGTTATTTCATGCTGGTTGTCACAATTTTACATGAAAAACTAATGAAAAAATGTTTTTAACTGTTTCTAAAAATAACTGTTTCCAAAACAGTTTTACATTCAAAATATGAAAAAGATGTATTTGTGTTCCTTAATCTGATGAGATTTTCACACTCTGCACATAATTGTTAGATTTTTATTGTGTTGATAAATTGTATATCAAATAAAAAATGTTATTACCTCTTAAATTAGGATTTTTAGGTGATATAGGCAGAAAGGAAGGCAAGTTTTTATAACTTTGTCTAAATGAACTTTCTAAATGCCTGAGTATTAAAAGATAGCATGTCTATAAATCACAATATATATATTACTGTATGACGTAGGACAAATCAAAACCATTACCTCTGATAACATTATATTGTGCCCAGTATAAAATAGATATAATAATACCTCAAACTTAAATCCAGGCATTGTCATTGAATATCTTAAGAATATGCAGCAAAGGTGCTTTTAAAAATACAAGCTAGTGATTGTACTAAATTTGTAAATCACATAGGATAGTGGGTCATTTTAAGAATATTATTTCAATCTATAAACGTGGATGTCTTTCCTTTTTTGTGTTTTCTTTAATTTCTTTCATTAATATTTGTCATTTTTGTTGTCAAAATCTTTTACTTCCTTGGTTAAATTTATCTCTAAGTACATTTTTGTAGCTATTGTAAAAGGAATTACTTTCTTAATTTCTTGTTTCAGCTAGTTTACTATCAATATGTAGAAATGCTACTGATTTTTGTATGTTGATTTATATCCTGCAACTTTATTAATTTCATGTATCACCCTAAGAAGCTTTTGGTAGAGTCTTATTTTTTTCCATGTATAAGATCACATTGTCTTTAAACAGGGACAATTTGACTGTCTCCTTTCCAATTCAGATGTCCTTTATTTCTTTCTCTCACCTAATCGTCCTGGCTAAGACTTTCACTATGTGAAATATGATTGGTGAAAATAGACATCCTTTTTTTGTTCCAGTATAATCTTTTTCTTGTTCACAGTAAAATTTTTCACCTTTTCCACACTCAGTATGATCTTAGCTGTAGATTTGTCCTTTATGTCCTTTGTGTTAAGGCATATATTTTCTATACTAAATTGATGAGAGGTTTTTTGTCATGTAAGAATATTTAATTTTGCCAAACACTTTTATTGTGTTTGTTAATTTAACCATATGGTTTTCAGTATATATCCAAAGCAAAGAAAATCAGTATATCAAAGAGTTACCTGCACCCCCATGTTTATTACAGCACTATGCACAGTAGCCAAGATATGGAATCAACAAAAGTGTCCATCAACAGATGAATGGATAAAGAAATGTGACATACATATATAATGGAATATTATTTAGTCATAATAAAGAACAAAATCCTGTTATTTGTGGCAACAAGAATGCAAGTGGAGGGCATTATCTTAGGTGAAATAAGCCTGGCATAGAAACATAAACACCACATAACTACGTGTTCTCACTTATGTATGGAAGCTAAAATTTTTAATCTCGTAGAAATAGATAGTAGAGTTTTGGTTACCATATCCTGGAAAGAGTAGGAGACAGAAGAGTATAAGAAAAATGTGGTTTTGATTTGCATTTCTCTGATGGCCAGTGATGATGAGCATTTCTTCATGTGTTTTTTGGCTGCATAAATGTCTTCTTTTGAGAAGTGTCTGTTCATGTCCTTCGCCCACTTTTTGATGGGGTTGTTTGTTTTTTTCTTGTAAATTTGTTTGAGTTCATTGTAGATTCTGGATATTAGCCCTTTGTCAGATGAGTAGGTTGCGAAAATTTTCTCCCATGTTGTAGGTTGCCTGTTCACTCTGATGGTAGTTTCTTTTGCTGTGCAGAAGCTCTTTAGTTTAATTAGAACTCATAGTTAAAACCACTATGAGATATCATCTCACACCAGTTAGAATGGCAATCATTAAAAAGTCAGGAAACAACAGGTGCTGGAGAGGATGCGGAGAAATAGGAACACTTTTACACTGTTGGTGGGACTGTAAACTAGTTCAACCATTGTGGAAGTCAGTGTGGCGATTCCTCAGGGATCTAGAACTAGAAATACCATTTGACCCAGCCATCCCATTACTGGGTATATACCCAAATGAGTATAAATCATGCTGCTATAAAGACACATGCACATGTATGTTTATTGCGGCACTATTCACAATAGCAAAGACTTGGAACCAACCCAAATGTCCAACAATGATAGACTGGATTAAGAAAATGTGGCACATATACACCATGGAATACTATGCAGACATAAAAAATGATGAGTTCATATCCTTTGTAGGGACATGGATGAAATTGGAAACCATCATTCTCAGTAAACTATCGCAAGAACAAAAAACCAAACACCGCATATTCTCACTCATAGGTGGGAATTGAACAATGAGATCACATGGACACAGGAAGGGGAATATCACACTCTGGGGACTGTGGTGGGGAGGGGGGAGGGATAGCATTGGGAGATATACCTAATGCTAGATGACACATTAGTGGGTGCAGCGCACCAGCATGGCACATGTATACATATGTAACTAACCTGCACAATGTGCACATGTACCCTAAAACTTAGAGTATAATAAAAAAAAAAAAAAGAAAAATGTGGTTAATACATACAAAATTACAGCTGGAGAGAAGGAAGAAGTTCTAGTTCTCTACAGCACTGTTGGGTGACTGTAGTTAATGGGAATTTATTGTGTGTTTTCAAACAACTAAAATAAAAGATTTTGAATATTCTCACTGCAAAGAAATAATACATGATTTAGATAATGGATATGATAATGACTCTGACTTGATCTTTACGCATTGCATAAATATATCAAAATATCACTCTGTAACCCATAACATGTACATTTATTATATGTCAATTAAAGTAAATTTAAAAGAGGAAAGATGAGGTAAAGGTAAATATACAGAATTTAATTGCTTTTTATTCTATAAAACCCGAGTCAGTACCAAGAAGAGTCAATTTATTAGTTTTCTAAAATAAAAAAAAATCAAAATCACCAAAAAAGAGCAATATCCAAGAAAACATTGAAAATGAAACACAACATTTAGTAAGAATAGAAAACTTGGGCACTGTATCACCCTGTTCCTAGATACCGATTTACTGATGACCATTTAAATAGAATTTTATTCTATCTAATTCATTTATACTCCCAGAGTTCGAAATTACATTTTACCTACAATAAATGAGATAACACTTGTAAATTATATGGTACTCTGCCTAACACACGTTAATAACTCAATACATGTTAGCAATAAACTTTTAGTAGTCAAAGTATTAATTTCTCACATTGCAATTTCCTTCAAAGACATGAATACAACCTTTCTAATGACTCCTTGTTCATCAAGATACCTCTTCAAATTATTCTATTTGTTTCATTCAGTATATTGTCTGTGCATACCGATATTACACTCTTTTCTTTTTTTGAGATGGAACCTCATTCTGTTACTGATGCTGGAATGAGGTGGCATGATCTTGGTTCACTGCAACCTCTACCTCCCAGGTTCAAGCGATTCTCCTGTCTCAGCCCCCCAGGTAGCTAGGACTACAGGTGCACACCACCATGCCTGGCTAATTTTTGTATTTTTAGTACAGTCAGAGTTTCACCCTGTTGTCCAGGCTGGACTCGAACTCCTGACCTCAGGTGATCCACCCACCATGGCCTCCCAAAGTGCTGGGATTACAGGCATAAGCCACCGCACCCAGCCTGATATTGCACTCTTGGATTTTAAACACTGAATATCTTTTTGAAAGATTACACCTCTTTACCTCTTCGTGCTTCAGAAATTATTTTCCTTCAAGTGTTCTAAGAGTCTAATGAAGAATGAAGTCATGTTTTATCACTTTTGTCCTTAAAGATTTCAGACATGCTGAAACTGATTGAAGTATCATCTGCTACCCGATAGATTAATTATCTCTAGTTGTAGGAGTGGATACATCTTTAATGGTATATTTTTGGTTATTGTCTTATTTTTGATGTAGTATTCTATCAATAATTTATTAAACCTGGCATCCTTGGGTGAGCATAGATTTTTCAACTTTGGTGTTATATTGTGTTTGCTTTTAAAAACTGCTTTTGAGGCCAGGTATGGTGGCTTTTGCCCATATCCAGCACTTTGGGAGGCCAAGGTGGGCGGATTACCTCAGGTCAGGAGTTCAAGACCAGCCTGGTCAACATGGCAAAACCATGTCTCTACTAAAAACACAAAATTAGCCAGGCATGGTGGTGCATGCTTGTAGTCCTAACCACTCGAGAGGCTGAGGCAAGAGAATCACCTGAACCTGGGAGGAAAAAGTTGCTAGGTTGCTGTGAGGCAAATTCGCACCATTGCACTCCAGCCTGGGTGAAAAGAGCAAAACTCTGTCTCAAAAAAAAAAACCCACCAAAAACTGCTTCTGAATGGAATTGTACATACAATTTTGATGAAAAAAATTATCAAGTGCATAAGTTCATAATAGAAAAACCAATAATACTCCAGGCACAAGTTAGTACTAAAAAAAATATGTTGAATATTCTCTAATACAACATGCTTTTTCCCTTCATGAACAATTTGTGTTTTACTGAGAAGAGTCATTGTTTATGGTAGACATTAGACCACAGATGAATATGTACTTTAAACACTCTTAGTTACTTTCTTAATTTTATATCTGCTGCTTCATGCTTCTGTTTATTTTCATTCTTTCCAATGTCCACATTCTAGTAAATTTGAATATTTTAATCCAAGTTTATATACTATTTAATATTGCTTGTATAGTTTAGTATTGTGAAGACTCAAAAAGGTTTACAGAAAGAAGAAAAAGATCAACATGTTATTAATCATTTAAAGATCTTTTGAAATCTTTGACCTTTATATTTTAATGAATAAAATATTAGTAGTTATTAGTATAAAATAATTTATGTCTTTTGGACTTAGCATCCAGTATTTCTTTTTTAATAAAGAAAATAATTATTCTCTTGCAATATACTATGTTTATCTGGGTTTTGAAAAGTGCTGTTTCCTAATATGAGAAAGCCATTTACATTTTTAATTCTACAAAGGCAAATGGAATGGTACTAAATTATTTACATAATAATGTTTAGATGGTGGCCCTTATAACATTCTTTCTATACTTCCTACAGAGTTGCAGATATGCAATCATAGAATATTTCTGGGAGCTAATTCCTTTAGCTTGATGAATGAAACAAGACTTTTAAATAAAATTAAACTTTCAAATTATCCAGGTAATGGGCCTGTCTTTTAATTCAATGGATATGGAGCATAATGAATTATCCCTGTGCATTGGGTAATAAGTTTTCATTCTTCTAATACTCAAAATGTCCTTTAATTTTTAATAGTCATATCATTATCCCTAGGTATTTTAGCTTCTATCTTAAATTCTAAAATAATTTTGAAACAGGAGAAAGTATTCTTTATTACTATATGTATTAAACATCATGGTTTTCAAATTTAACTGCAAATGTATCTTTTCATTGCTTCTTGGTGACGCCCTTCACCCTATCCATATTGTCACTACCAAGTGGTGATTACTTTTCAGGTTCACATACTTATTCTTTAGAAAAATCTCTGTGCCTTATAAAGAATATGATTGTTGGCATTCAAAAGCCAGCGAAGTATACATTATTAGCCTGTTGCCTAACTCATTTCTTTAAGAAACTACACTAATTACCCACATACTTATGTTTTTATTTCCTCATTATTTCTGGAGAAAACAAATACTGCTAACATGATATTTGTAAGAGAGAAAAAAGTCTTTTCTTGAAAAGTGCTGTCATTGTAGTACTAACTTATAGTATCAACTTCTTTATAAACTCCTTATACACTTTTTATTCTGAGAGAAATAAAAAAGCTAAAAGTGAAATGACTTTTTTAACTCTCCATATTATAAGCACCCATGTTGGTAATTTAGGGTCTTTATAGTTAGGGTAAGTTGTGTCATACCGAGATTACAAAATAAAAAGTATTTTGTCTCTTTGGGCCTTTCCTTATTCAGTAATACTGTCAGTTTGGCTTTTTTTGTAGGTCAACTTATTGATATCAGTATTCTGAAATAATATGTTTACTATTTTTTGATAAGCATTTAAAATATTAGATTTATTGTTACTCTTCTGCCTTCATTGGGCTGGAAGAATAATTGTTTCTCACTCCACAAAAGCCAAGTTGCAGAGAAAAACACATAGACATTCAACTGCAAAGCAGAGAAACTTGACTATTTCCTGCAATTTTAAAGTGTATATTGAATAAAACCATCTTTTTATTTTCTTTTTTGCTCACTGGCAAATATTAACAATATCAAGTGTGTTATTATAATGTTATCTAGTTAAAAATCTCAAAAAGTTTTCATAATTACCATTTAAAAATATATAAATAGGTGACCTAATGTTAATTTTTATTGTCTGAGACCATGTCTGTTATTTCACTCTTTAAATTCAGTTAGTAATGCAGAACCTAGCACTTAGTACTCAAAAATTATGTGCTGGATAAAAAAAGGTTAAACATGTAATATATACAAAATGTACTGGAAAAAATGCACCAAACAATTTTGTTATACCAGTTTAATGTAGAATATTGCCTTTAAAAGATAATATAGTTTTCAGGTGTCTACAGTGATTTTGTAATATTTGTGCACATATAAAATAATATTTCCAAAAATGTAATCCAGTGAGGAAATATACTCTCTAAATTCTAGATTTATAATTTAGGGTTTAAATTATAAAATCATTAAATAAGATACAAGTGAAATATAGTCAAATATCCCCTTGGAAAAAAATTAAGTGGCCTTTAAAGTGAGGTATTCATATATGTAATTTTACAATCCTCTAGTGATAGAATTAATTAAATATGCCACCAAATTGATTAATTCCTACAGTGTTAAAAGAGAAGCACTAACAATACCAGTGACCATGTAACATGGATTTAAGCTACAAGTCATAGAAATGTGACGAGAAGCCTCAGCGCTGTAAAACAGAGGGTGGAAGAAAGCTTTTCCTCTCTCAAATGAGCTTTGCGAGGTATACTTCTTGAAGGATAGGAAGTTGAAGTGTTCAGGACTTTTATGTCTATTCTACTTTGCCTTAGTTTACATGATTCTTAGTTTATTAGCCTAGAAATGGCCAAGAAAACTTAAGGCTCAATAATTAGTTATAAATATGAAATATCCCCAATTTTTAAGATAAAAACAACTTATAAATGTATTTGTCTGTAAAAATTGTGTATATTTTTATAGAACATCTATTTCTTTTTTTCTTTTTTAATTTTTTTATTATACTTTAAATTCTAGGGTACACATGCACAATGTGCAGGTTTGTTGCATATGTATACATGTGCTATGTTGGTGGGCTGCACCCATTAACTCATCATTTATATTAGGCATATCTCCTAATGCTATCCCTCCCCCCTCCCCCCACCCCACAACAGGCCCTGGTGTGTGATGTTCCCCTTCCTGTGTCCAAGTGTTCTCATTGTTCAATTCCCACCTATGAGTGAGAACATGCGGTGTTTGGTTTTTTGTCCTTGCGATAGTTTGCTGAGAATGATTGTTTCCAGCTTCATCCATGTCCATACAAAGGACATGAACTCATCATTTTTTATGGCTGCATAGTATTCCATGGTGTATATGTGCCACATTTTCTTAATCCAGTCTATCATTTTTGGACATTTGTGTTGGTTCCAAGTCTTTGCTATTGTGAATAGTGCCGCAATAAACATACGTGTGCATGTGTCTTTATAGCAACATGATTTATAATCCTTTGGGTATATGCCCAGTACTGGGATGGCTGGGTCAAATGGTATTTCTAGTTCTAGATCCCTGAGGAATGGCCACACTGACTTCCACAATGGTTGAACTAGTTTACAGCCCCACCAACAGTGTGAAAGTGTTCCTATTTCTCCACATCCTCTCCAGCACCTGTTGTTTCCTGACTTTTTAATGATCACCATTCTAACTGGTGTGAGATGGTATCTCATTGTGGTTTTGATTTGCATTTCTCTGATGGGTCTATTTCTTTAAAACAAAGGGAGGGGAGTCTCTCATTTACATTAGTTTTTTTCATAGCCTTTTGGACTTTGCAATTTCTATGTTTTGGAACCTATTTCTTACAGTTTTTCTATGCTAAACTCTGTCCTGGTCAGTTCCAGAGTGTATGAAGAACAAAATGATGTAATTGTATGTGACCTGGCTGTAGTGGAACAAATTTGACTCTTAAGTATGCAGGCTCTAATTTTCCTGTCTGGTTTTGGTAAGTATTCCTTACATAGGTTTTTTCTTTGAAAATCTGGGATTGAGAGGTTGATGAATGAAAATTAATCCTTTCACTTTGTTGTATATAAGTTTGCAATAATTAGGTCAGAGTGGAGTTTTAAGGTCATGAAGGAGGCTGATGACTTACAAATAATGGGCTCTGATTGGGCAACTACTCATCTGAGTTCCTTCCATTTGACCTAATTAAGCTTATGAAATTTACACTAAGCCATGAGCTCATCTTTAAAAAGTCTTATTAAAAGATTTTCAGCTGTTCCAAATGGGACTTATTAGTGGAATGTGTTTTAAAGGATCATATGTGATGAATGAAAGGTATTTGATCCTTTCTTTCCATAATAATAAAATGATGGTTTGGAAAAAGAGGCTACAGTCTAACCACAGTGCTATTATTAGGCTTTCTTGTTAAACATAGGTCTAAGCCTAAGTATGTCAATACAACAAATACTTACTGTTTCATTTCTAGTAATGAAAAAAGAAAACAAGTCTTTCTGGCATAAGGATGATTTTCATCTGGTTATTTTGAAACATTTTTGTAAAATAAGTTTACATCTATAAAGAATATTTTCATTTGTAAGGAGGGGTATGTCTCTGTGCACTGGAAGAGAGGGAGGACTAAATCACTGGGAAGTCTTATGATAAAGAAGCCATTGGCTTAAATCAGCAAAGCAAGCCATCCCTTGGTTTAAGGTGTTTTTCCTGGCCATCCTTTCTTGACTAGAACTTTACCTACACATTCCTTTTTGGTTTAGGCAAATTATAGTATCTAAACCTGAAGTCTCAGCTCTGTGTCTTTGAGATATAAATGTTCTACCATGTCTTCTCTGGAACCTGATAACTATCTATCTCTTTAAAATGCAAGTCTAGGGAGATGACTCATCAGAAAAAGAAGAAAAAGGTATTTGGAAATTGTGCAAATTAAAGCAGCCCATGATGCCAAAGTCTACACATTCCTGAGTGAGTCAGTTCTGGCCAGTTCTAGCTGGATCAAGAGAGCTCTGCTGGGCAGGCCTGAAGAGCAGCTGGATGGCAGACACCTGAGGAGCCAGGTGCCTGAAATTTCCTCCACCTGCTTGAGGAGCGCCAAAGCTCAGGTGCTGGCTAGACAACCCCTTCTGGCTGCCTAAGCAGGTGGAAGAGGAAGGAAAAAAGGTCAGAGGCAGAGTGTTGAACCCTGCCTCCCAGGTGGGTGGAAGATGCCTGTCGCCAAACTAGGGCCCAGCTTACCGGGTGAGATGGGTGAACTGGTGATCTCCCGAGAGAGTGGACGTCAGAACTACATGGTCCTGGACTTCACCTAGGCCAGTGAAGGAGAGAGAGGATTAATGTTAACTGCAGGAGGCCCACTCTAGCCTTAAATTTTGTAATTCAAACCCTTTCCTTGGAGACAAAACAAACATGACAAGGAATTCTGAGGTCAGGGGACAAGAATCACAAGTTCCCCAGTGGGAGACTGAGGAGGCAGTGTCCTTTCTGCCCTTGGTCTACTGGCTAAGAACCTTCCTCAGCCTGACCTTTCCACATTGCACTTTCAGCTCTGTTTGCAATTTTCCTCCTGAGGGATTCCTGCTGAGGGAATCCCAGTGTTCGATACTGAAATCTATACGTTCCTAATGGGTGGTTAAAAAAAAACCTCAGCAAGAGAAGCAGAAAATGTTTCCTCTTCCTGAAAAACTGTAGAAAGGCAGGCACCATTCTGGGTGGGACATGGTCCTTGCAAAAGTCTTTATGTTTTTTTTTTTATTTTGAGATGAAGTTTTGCTCTTGTTGCCCAGACTGGAGTGCAGTGGTGTAATCTCTGCTCACTGCAACCTCTGCCTCCTGGGTTCAAGCAATTCTCCTACCTCAGCCTCCCGAGTAGCTGGAATTACAGGCACCTGCCACCATACCTGGCTAATTTTTTGTATTTTTAGTAGAGATGGAGTTTTGCCATGTTGGCCATGTTGGCCTCGAACTCCTGACCTCAAGTGAGCCACCCGCTTCTGCCTCCCAAAGTGCTGGGATTACAGGCGTGAGTCACTGTGCCCGGCCAAGATTTTGTTTTGATAGAACACTTGAGTCTCTCTCACCTTGTATTTAGAGAAGTTAGAAAGTAAAAGATAATGTATATAGAAAGCTTTTTGAAAACTCTTAAGAAGTTCATAAATATGGGGCACTATGACTATGCATATGAAAATATTTCCTATCAGTTGGCAGTTACCACCTCTTATAGTGGCATGGAACCTCTTGAGTTAAACCAAGACTCAGTGAGATTGGGTGATTTAGGTAGTGTCATTTTATGAACAAGGGGTACCCTACTCAGTTCTTTTATTTTATTATACTTCTCTTTGACATTCACTCCAGTGAAAGAACTCTTTCAAAAGACATCATGCCTGGTCTCACAGAGATTCAAAGGTGTTTGAGTCCTTCCTTATTATGCCCTTGGAAGATGCTTTGAGGACCCCAGTGATGAATCCCAAGAACTCTGTCTCCATTATCCCTGGAATAGGGCACCTCATCACTCTGGTGTTATCCCTGAAGGGCCTTCATAATAATGTGCTTAAAAGAGTCCCCTATTATGTCCTTCAGGATGGAGCTTGACTTGCCCAAATTGCTATGTACATGTTAAAGAGAGGCTGGAACTGAAGTTGGTCATTTCTCACTGGATCAGTCAACAAGGTTTGAGTACTTTCTGTGTGCTCTGCATCATTCTGAGTACAGAATAAGGCATGGCTCCTGCCTTCAAGGAGTATGGAATTTAATAGAAGATGACAACATACATGATTGTAAATCTATCTACATGAGAGTGAATAATTGTGAGATTCCTAATAAACGGCAAGATATGTTCTGAAAATGTGAAACATAAATGAGGTTGAAGAAATTGTGAAAGGTTTAGCAGAGGAGGAATAATTCGTCAGGTTCTTTAAATACAAGTAAAGGGGAAAGGAAGGACCATTTTTAAGTTTAGATATTCCAAGGGTTAGTGGTGAGGTGGATTATGGTATGTCTTCTCGTTGATGAGGGTGGAGACTGGCGAATAGTGGAAAATAAAGTTAAATAGTTAGGGTGGGGCCAAATTATGGGTTTTAATAAAAGCCAGGCATAGAAATTTAGATTGGGGTGGTAGAAAAATGAAGGCTTTAAACGTTTTTAAGCCAATGAATGACATCATACAAGTTCTATATAAAGAGCAGTGATTTCAGGATGGGAGAGAATGGCATCAGGAAGACCCACTTGAATGCTGGTAACTAATGTTACTAACAGTGCCATTAGTAACATTAATGTTACTAGGGCCTGGACTGATATGCTGATGGAAGTGAGAATGAAGAATAAGGTGGGATGAAAGAGATTTTGACAAGAGTTTTTTAATGAACCTGAAACGGGAAAGGGCGAGATTGACTAAGCCTGCTTGCCATGGACAGCAATGGGGTTGCTAGAAGATTAGCTGTGCGGAAAAAGTTATGCATTTACCTTTGAGCATAATGAAATGCAATTGACTCTCCATATTCATGGGTTCTGCATCCACCAATTCAAACAACTGTGGAACAAAATTGTCAGAAAAAACAATACAATGATAAAAAATGATACAAATAAAAAACAACATGGTATACCAACTATTTACATAGCATTTACATCGTATTAAGTGTTATTAAGTAATCTAGAGATTATTTAAAGTATATAGGAGGATGTGTGTAGGTTATATGCAAATACTACACTATTTTATACCAGTAACTTGAGCATCCATGGATTTTGGTATACAAGGGGGATCCTGGAACAAATTCGCCATGCATATCAAAGGATGACTGTATGAGTTATCTGTAAAATGGTTTGGTTGAAATGTTTAGAAAACAGCTAGAAATACAAGACTGGCTGTTGGATGAAAAAAACATAGGACTAGGAAATTCAGGTATGCTAGTCTTTTTGAGTATTGCTTAAAGCCATGGGAAAAGAGCTCTCTGTGAGTTCCAAGACAGATGCAAGGACTGGCATTCATGCACAGCTTCTAGCAGTTAAATCTGAAGAGTTCTTAGTATGCATGTTGACTGAAATTACTTTAGAAGTAATTTTTCTCCTGGTGATAAAAGGCATGTAAGGCTATTTTAGGAAATTGAAAAATGCAAAAAGGTATAAAGAAAAAGAAAAGATAATCATTAATAGTACGTTAGTAAACAAGATTTGACTAAAGATATCACTTTCCTCCCGCTTGTTTTCTTATGCATATAAAGGGATAGGAAATATGTATGTATGTATGTATGTATGTATGTATGTATGTATGTATGTATGTATGTGTATAGGATCATGCACTATATATAGCTTGCTTCTTTTTCCACTATGATAATTTTCCCATGTCATGAATTACGGCTTGCAAGTGCTTATTCTTAACAGGCTGCATTATTTTTCATTATTTGGATTTATTGTTATTTAATTGGAGCTCTATTATTGAACATTTAGATTGCTTCCAAAATTTTTTGCTCTTGTTAATATATTGTAATAAACTTCTGTGAAACACATACTCTTCACCTGCTACTTACATATGACTTCTGTAAGCCGAGACCTCTGTATCCCCAGGACCTAGAAGGTTACCTGGACATAGTAGTTTCTTAATTAAAAAAAATTATTGATTGAATGAAAGAAGACTATTAAATGTTCAGTTCTTCTTTTTTTATTCTGATTCCCTGTGTATCCAGAGGCCTCTTATTTGTCTGCATGTATGAGTTTGGCTGTAATGAAAGTATTGGCCATATATGACCATAAACAGGCATTCCTATTTCTGTCACAGTTATATTTGTCATTCTGTATTAATACATCTATACCCTGATTTCTATTGAAGCATGGTTATTTTTGTTTGCTTCTAAGCAATGTAGCTACCCTATTGATGCCGATAAAAATAAATTTCTGAACCTATAAGACTGAGGATTGGGCCTAGGTTGTGGTAAATTGGCAAGATAATGGATACTACCCTGTCAAGAGCCCTCTGAAGAGAAAAGTCTGCCACCCTTCACCAGGTAGAAACTCCTGGCAGTGCCACATTTTCCAGTTTGACGCCCTGTGATACCCTGAAAACACAGATGTTTGACTCTTTTCAAATAATATTTTAACATATTTTAAGATGCAAAGGCATTGTGTCAGATTTTTTTCTTAAGAATGTATTTCATTACCACTCAGAAGTTAGCTTCCAAAAGAAATAAGTGTGTGCAAAGGCTTATGATAGTGGTGTAGAGAAGTTTTTAAAATAAATGTGCATCTTTTATGGTAATAAAAGCACATTATGAAGAATTTTTTAGGTCCAGTTCACAGATTCCTTGTGCCTGGGGAAAACTTTATTAGAAAATTAGATCATTTCTAATTTGATTAGGGGAAGTCTAATGGGAAAACTTTTTAACTGAGCTGTCCAATTCGAAACATGAATATGTGTGCTGGAAGCTTCTATTGAACTTTACTTAAGTCACATCTAAGACCCTCTGCCTGTCAGTCCACCATTACCCTAACAGTGGTAGAAATTATATGACACCTAGATCTTTTTTTGTTGCACTTTTAAGCTGTGTAGGAAACACACTGCCCACATGTTCATACAACACAGAGTGATTATCCACTTAGTTCCTAAAAAGATGTATTTGGTTATGGGGTTTGATCCCACTTTTCCAGGGTTTAGGTCAGCTACTGAAGATTAGGATATCTGGGTACCTCTTACTGGAGAATCCATTCCTGTTTTCATTTCATTCCTGGGGGCAATATTCAATCTGGTGTGGCCCTCTGTATTATAAAATATTTCCCAGATTGTGTTTATCTGAAATACAAATCCAAGAAGAAGCATGGTGTTAATTGCCGTGTAAAAAAGATTCCAGAGTGAAGAGCTTGAGACGTTCTATTCCTTCCTTCATAGGTTCAGTTGTTTAACCCAGCATTTTTCAAACATATTTTACTCCTAGAACCTGTTTTTCATCAGACATATTTAAGAAAAAAGCGTTTTGTAGAACACATTTGGACAAATGATACTTTATATCATTACTTTGTTTTTTAAATTTTAGTTTGACTGAATTTTACAGTTTCAGGATTTTGTTTCTGCTTCAGGTTTTAAGCTTTTCTTTTATAAATAGTTACTTTCCTAGTCTGAAATGTATACATTGTTTCAGTAATGAATTC